>NT_187594.1:0-191684 GCF_000001405.40 Homo sapiens | reverse complement strand
GGTTGTTGTCGTGGAGAAGAACTGGGCCCTTTCTGTGGACCAGTGCCGGCTGCAGGCCTGGCAGTTTTTGGTGCATCTCATTGATTTGCTGAGCGTACTTCTCAGATGTATTGGTTTTACTGGGATTCAGAAAGCTATAGTGGATCAGACTGGGAGCAGACCACCAGACAGTGACCCTGACCTCTTTTTCGTGCAAGTTTGGTTTTGCGAAGTGCTTTGGAGCGCCTTCTTGGTCTAGTCACTGAGCTGGTCATCACTGATCGTCGCTGTTGTTGAATGAAATCCACTTTTTTTCACATGTCACAATCCAACCAAGAAATGGTTCGTCGTTGTTACGTAGAATAAGAGAAGACAACACTCAAAAATGACGATTTTTAAAATTTTCGGTCATCTCATGAGGTACCGACTTATCAAGCTTTTTGACCTATTGGCTGGGCGTGGTGGCTCACGCCTGTAATCTCAGCTCTTTGGGAGGCCAAGGCGGGCAGATCAGTTGAGGCCAGGAGTTCAAGACCAGCCTGGCCAACATGGTGAAACCCCACCTCTACTAAAAATACAAAAATTAGTCGGGCCTGGTGGTGGTCACCTGTAGTCCCAGCAACTAGGGAGGCTGAGGCACGAGAATCGCTTGAACCCGGAAAGTAGAGGTTGTAGTGAGCCCAGATTATGCCGCTGCCCTCCAGCCTAGGTGATAGAGTGAGACTCCATCTCAAAAAAAAAAAAAAAGCTTTTGCACCCTTCCAATTTGCTTCAATTGCCAAACAAGCGTAGAATGGTTGACATTGAGTTCTTTAACAATTTCTCGTGTAGTTGTAAGAGGATCAGCTTCGATGATTGCTCTCAGTTGGTCATCACCAACAACTTCTGGCCGGCCACTACACTCCTCGTCTTCAAGGCTGTCGTCTCCTTTGCAGCACTTCTTCAACCACCACCGCACAGTTCCTGGGCCAAATGTGTAGTTGATGTTGCGAGTTGTCTCCACTGCTTTATGACCCATTTTGAACTCAAGAAAATTGCTTGAATTTGCTTTTTGTCTAACATAATTTCCATAGTCTAAAAAAAAACACCAAATAATACATTATTAGCAAAAAAAGGTGAGAAATGTGCATTAAAATGATGTATAAATAACCACATTTATTTAAGAACGTATTCCAGTATCAAATAGCAAATTTCAACAATGCAAAAACTACAGTTACGTTTGCACCAACCTAATAATATGTATATTTTTTAGTTAGAAATTTTATAGTACAGAATAACAGGCTTGTCAAATACACACACACAAATCCCATAAAGAATCTACAAATCCCATATAGAATCTGTCTGTCTCTGAATTCCACAACCTCAGCTTATTTTTTAAAGTAAAATTTAAATATTTCAAAAATTTAGAAAAATAATGGAGAATAATTTAACAAACACCATGTACTAGTAGATTTTTTTTCTTTTTCTTTTCTTTTCTTTTCTTTTTTTTTTTTTTTTTAAGATGGAGTCTCACTCTGTTGCCCAGGCTGGAGTGCAGTGGTGCAATCTTGGCTCACCGTAACCTCTGCCTCCTGGGTTCAAGCGATTCTCTTGCCTCAGCCTCCCGAGTAGCTGGGACTACAGGCACACATCACCACGACCAGCTAATTTTTGTATTTTTAGTAGAGACGGGGTTTCACCATGTTGGCCAGGATGGTCTCCATCTCTTGACCTCGTGATCTGCCTGCCTTGGTCTCCCTAAGTGCTGGTATTACAGGCATGAGCCACTGCGCCCGGCCCATTCAGTAGATTTAATAGATGCTGACATCTTGTCAGATTTGCTTCAAAGATGTGTTTATATATGTTTTTATTTATTTATTTATTTTTGACATGGGGTCTCACTCTGTTGCCCAGGCTGGTGTGCAGTGGCAAAATATCTGCGCACTGCATCCTCCACCTCCCAGGTTCAAGCGATTCTCATGCCTCGGCCTTTTGAGTAGCTGGGATTACATGAGCTCCTCACCACTCCCGGCTAATTTTTATATTTTTAGTTTCACTGTGTTGTCCAGGCTTGTCTCGAACTGACCTCACGGGATCTGCCCGTCTTGGCCCCCCAGAGTGCTGGGATTACAGGGGTGAGCCACTGTGCCTGGCCTATATTTGTTTTTAAAAATTAAAATATGCATACGGTTGGAGTCCCTTTTGTCATCCTCTTAGATCCTATTTTCTTATGTAGAAGTTACTTTTTAGCTTCATGCACTTATATTCTTCCTACAAATATTTAAATATATTTAACATGTAGTATTGTGTTTCAAATTTATGTGATATTTTAGTACATACATTCTATAATTTGAAAAATGACATTTATGTTGATATATGTGTATTATTATTATTATTATTATTTGAAACAGTCTTGCTCTGTCACCCAGGCTGTAGTGCAGTGGCACAATCTTGGCTCACTGCAACCTCCATCTCCCAGTTTCAAGTGATTGTTGAGCCTCAGCCTCCTGAGTAGCTAGGATTACAAGTGTGAGCCCCTGCACCTGCCTTACTTCATTAATTTTAATAGCTATGTAGTATTCAGTTATATGAACGAATAGTACACAGTTTTAGTCCTTTATTGATAGTTGTTATCAACAAATAAACAAATGTAAAATTTTTCCTCAAATTGGGTCAAGCTATATATATTGTTCTAAATTAGCTCTTTTTCTCCCAATAATAATAGTGTGCAGGTTTGTTACATGGGTGTATTACATGAGGTTTGGGGTACAATTGATCCCATCACCCAGGTAGTAAGCATAGCACCCAGTAGGTAGTTTTGTTTTAGTGTTTTGAGACAGGGTAGGTCTCTGCTCCCCAGGCTGGAGTGCAATGTTGCAATCACTGGTCACTGCAGTTTTGACCTCTTGGGCTCAGTCGATCCTCCCAGCTCAGCCTCCTGGGTAGCTGGGACTACAGTGGTGGGCCACATGCCCTGCTAATTTTTGTATTTTTTGTAGAGACTGGGTTTTGCCCTGTTACCCAGGCTGATCTCGAACTCCTGGACTCAAGCAATCCACCCACTGCGGCCTCCCCAAGTGTTAGGATTATAGGCATGAGCCACCGTACCCAAGCCCCCAGCAGGTAGTTTTGAACCTTCACTCCTTCCCATCCTCTCCTCTCTGTTATTTCCCTATATCTATTGTTCCCATGTTTATGTCCACCTTTACCCAATGTTTAGCTTAGAATGATGATTTCCAGCTGCATCATGTTGCTGCAAATGACATGATTTTGTTGTTTTTTATGGCTGCAGTGAACCTTTGGGTAAAGAAAATTTACAAAAATATCTCACATCTTTTTTTTTTATGAAAGTAAGTAGTAGTAATCCATAGTTCAGATCTACTTTATAAGTGAGTCACTGATGAAGACAGTAGTTACACATTTTATAGCATTACCTTGATGTGGCAAATTTTTCTTGTTTTGTTTTTGTTTTACGTGAATTAATTTGGATGAGACTTTCTTGAATAATTTACATTTATAGTGTTTGCCTCCAGTGGGGTTGAGATGAGGAGCCTTAAATCCAACAAAGTTGTATACATGCATTCATGGGGTGACACTTAGGTTATTTAATCAGGAAACACTCATATTTGTCCACATGTAGATGCTACACGTGGAGTTAGTCCTATTCTTTGGAAATTTCACTATGTTGCCCACGCTGGTCTTGAACTCCTGAGCTCCAGTGATCCTCCCACCTTGGCCTCCCAGAGTGCTGGGATTATTGACGTGAGCCTCTGTGCCCAGCCAGAAATGTGATTTTAATTCCATAATATATAGTATATGTTACTGTGAATGCAG
This sequence comes from Homo sapiens, assembly GCF_000001405.40. Classification (NCBI taxonomy): domain Eukaryota; kingdom Metazoa; phylum Chordata; class Mammalia; order Primates; family Hominidae; genus Homo; species Homo sapiens. The sequence continues at coordinate 187,892 of NT_187594.1, read as the reverse complement.
TGTATGTTTATTCCATAAGTAGCAAATTGACTCATTCAACAATTTCAATAGTTTTCCAGTTGTTTTGTCTTTAGTTTCCCAGGCAAATAATGCTATTGTCTTCAATCACAGTATTGATTAGTTCATCCCATTCTTCATACTGATCATTGTTTTTTGGATATGAAATAATACAGACTACTGTAATAATAAAAAAAGATGGAACACCTCCCCAATTTGCATGCCATCCTTATGCAGGGACCATGCTAACCTCTGTATTGTTCCAATTTTAGTATATGTGCTGCTGAAGCGAGCACTCCATTTCTGTAAAGCTTATGTATTTTATCTAATATATTTTTATGACAAATTTTAAATATAAAATAAAAGTGAGAACAGTGGCATTCATTTACGTTTTGCAAGCCTTTTGATCCAAACTCAACAGAAGATAGCTAGATTTTTCTGTTTTTGGATTCAGTATGTACTTAAATGCTGTTCTGGCTGACATATATGTAGAAAATCAAGCTTCACAAAATATGTAGTTGGAAAAGGGAAGAATACTATAATAGCCTTTTCAAATAGTTGTGAATATTCTTCAATAGTACACAAAAACATGGCAAGTAGTAGTTTCTTAAAGCACAGTTGTGATAGGGAATCTGAAATAATTTCCATGAACTTTTCATCTTCTGCTGGATTAAAATTCACTGGTCTATCACGAAACTTAAATAAATTCTTTAGCTATGCATGGTCTTGTAACATCACACATTTGGAAAATATTAGCTCACTGAGTTATATGGATCTTCAAAATGTTGATGTATTCCATTGTACAATATTTTAAAAGTCACATTATTTAATAAAATCACCAGTCTCATTAAAAAGTCTTTAAGTACTGAGAAGTGGGTCAAATTCAAGGTGTAACATAGAAGTTTGCCACAGTTCTAATTTTTACTTGAAGCCTCCAATTTTATCATTGGTCACAAATACTATCAGTTGTTTTCTTTGATGTGGCAGGCTTACTTCGTTCATTTTTGGGAAAATGACTGCCAAATAACCAAGTCGGAATAACCACTATATGCCTGTCAATTGTTATTTCAAGGCAAAGTGTTGTTCCATTAAAGGGGCTTGTTCAGCCCCTTTATGGAAATAATTTTGAAATAATTTCAGAAGTGCTTTCCCTTGATAAAAGTCTCATACTTTGGTATGCAGTAAAACCTCTATGCATACTTCTTATTTTGTCACATTGAATATAAAAAAATAAAAAATAAAAAGACATGTTCCCAAGGATCAATTTTAAAAATTAATAATGATTTCAACTGCTTCATGAAATAAAACCCTCGAAAAACTGACCGTAAAAATTGGCAGTGAGGAATATTAGTGCAGTGTGGTGCCACTGCTTTAACTTTTTTGCTAAGGCACCAGAAATTTAATACACCATTGCTTTGCTACTCTCAGTGGAAATGTCAACCAAGCAGAATAGGCAAAAAACATCTCAGTTTGAAAATCGTTTGACCTTGTGGACTCCCAGAAAGGTTTGTAAGACATGTAGGGATTTGTAGACCACACTTTGAGAGCTACTGATGTGGAAGCATCATTTCCAAGCAGCAAGGTGCCATTCTAGCAGTGTATCTGGACTGGCTCCAGGAACCTAGATATAATCAATAAGGTGAGACATTGAATTTACTGTATCATTGAATTTTATTTAATTGTTTTGTATTGAGGAGAACAAACTCATCTTGTGAATCATCAGCTTTCTGTGGTTTTGAAATTACGGAATCTGCTCTTCTCTAGCAAGGGAGAGGGGTCTTCTTCTGCTGGCCCATAGCACTCAGAGCAATCTAGGAGCTCAGATATCTCCCTCTGAGACTCGTCTCTATTTTTGACATAGAAGACTTGCAATGGCTATTAATTCAGCTGCTTCTTAACTCCTAGCATCCTTACAAACAAATATTAATCCTGATTTTCAGCATATTCTGCCTTCTGGCTGCAGGAGGTAAGAGTCTCTTTAAAGACACAGTAGAGGCCTTCTTCTTTCATAGCAGGCCCTAAGCTAATATTTGGGTGACATGAGCCTGTTTTTTGTTTGTTTTCATCCTTCCACTGTAGTTGAAAAACCCAGCCAACATCACTTCTCACAGACTTACACACACGTGTGTGTGTGCAAATTGTAGAACTTCTGTAGAATGCATATATATTATATATATATATATATAAATATGTATATGTCAGTGTTTTCTCTTTTACCTGTGCTTCCTCTCACTCCACCATAGGTGAGAGTCTCAGTAAAGCGATACTGAAGCATAAAAGTGTTCATTACCATCCCATTTATTGTAGCAATGAAAACCCTTTGCCATCTGACTGGCAAGTAACCTAGTTAGAGTATCTCATCATGAAGGTTTGCTTTCTAGAACATTTTGGGTTACTGCAATAACCAAAATTGAACCAATAATTCAAATAAAAATATTTATTTGGTAGGTGATCTCAGGAAGCAAGTCAGTGAGTGAGGAAATAAATTAGAGGAGGGAAAAATAATAAAATATATGTTAATAAGTTGGTTACCATTGTGGAGAACAAGGGCTCAAGTCTACGCTGAATCTCCGAGACACTGTAAAAAGTACCTTACAATTGTCCCATTCAGGGGTGAAGGCATGTATGTTGAAAGTTGGTTATCATTGTGCTGAATGAGGTTGGTTAGCATTGTGGGGAACTTCATACATAGGAAGAAGTTCGGATACTTTTCTTTCTTAGGCTGATGGTCACTCTTGGGACTTTGGTCCTTTTCCAGACAGTTCTGTGTATGAGCCAAACCTGCCTCAGTAGCCGGAGAATACCCTCAATCAGATGCCTAAGGTAGAAAACCAAATGTAGAGTTCTTCTTCCCTAAAGTTCTGGGTGAGCTCTGGGAGAGATCTGGGAGGGGCTGAGGAGTATGGGTGGGGCTCTGAAAATATATATCATAGATCTCTACTTCACATCCACATGCAAACCAAATTCAGGAAGATAAAAGGAAAAATTATAATATGTTTAGAAGAAAACCTCGCAACTGATGGACCTCTTAGTAGAGAAAGATTTCTTTAAATGGATACAAAAAGCACAAAACATAAAGGAAAATATCCAATGATCTCTCTTTCCTAAAAGGTACCATAAAGAGACTGAATAAAAAATGCTACAAACTTGGAGGAGATATTTGCAATACATGTAAACAACAAAGGGTTAGTGTGTAGTGTATCTAGATACTTCTGTGAATCAAAAAAGAAAAAAAAAAGGAAAAGAAAACCCAATAGACAAATGAAAAAAAAATCAATGAGCACAAACTTCAAAGATGACAAAACAAAAATGTTCTATCAATATTTGAAAAGATATTCAATCTCATTAACCAGGGTAAAGAAAATTAAAACTATAAAATTAGAGAAAATTGAACTATGAGAATGTATCAGGTGCTGGCAAGAATGTGGGGCCACAGAAACTCTCCTTCACTTTTGATGAGGGTGTAAATTGTAACACTTCTGCGGAATGCTGATTGGCATTTCATAGTGAAGTTGAACATGCGTATTTCCTGTGATCTGTCAGTACCACTTATCGCTATATACCTAAGGAAACTTTTGCACAATAGGATGCGCATGAATTTTTAAAGGACGTGCACTCTTCTGTAAAGAATAGAGCCTTTAAAAATATATCATAAAACTTTGTAAACAAACTGACATAAGGAGGACGTTCAGTTTTGGTTCTGTTTCTTACTATTTGAGTGGACAGTTACTCAACCTCACTAAACCTCAGTTCCCTCATCAGTAAAATAAAAATAATAGTAATTTTTAACTCATAGGCTTGTTATGAAAATTAAATAATACATGTAATATCCTTATTAATGTGCTTTCTTGTTATTGGCTCAATAAATGTTAATAAAATGAATGATTCTTATTTTCACTATGGAATTCCAGAAAGGACCATTTAAAGAAAAAAGTCATTCTTACTCCTTTGAGATTTTAAGAACTTGTTCAATAGCATTTTAATTTTATTTCTTTCTAGTACCTACCCCACGAGGTTGTCAAGAGAATTAAGTGAGATAAGATACATAATGTACTTTAAAAGGCTTCTGTGCCTGATGGTAGTCATGCAACCTGTGCAGCCACTGTTATTATTTTTCTATTGTACAGGACTATTTTCTATGTTGCTAAAATCTATGAAAGTTGAGGGTTACCAAAAAAGTGGGCAAAGGAGACACACAGACACTTTTCAAAAAAAGACATTTATGCAGCCAATAATCATATGAAAAAAACTCAACATCACTGTTCATTTGAGAAATGCAAATCAAAACCGCAGTGAGATATCATGCATGGCAGGGATATGGCAGGGGATAGGTTAGGGGCAGTATCCGGTGATACACTGCAGGTGGGTGGGGGGCGGGAAAGGGGGGTACAGGGAGGTGATTGGAGGGGGTGGTTTCGGGCGCTGTGGCGGGCTAGAGTGCTCATGATAGAGGGGGGCGTTGGGTGCGCTATTGGGGGCTACACTGCCAGCGGCAAGGGACAGTTTGGGGGCGATACCCCACCAGTGGCGGGTGGGGAGGTGTGGTGGGTTGTGGCCACCATTAGGGGGCTGTACTGCGGTCAATGGGAGCGAGTTAGGGGAGCTATCAGCTGCCGCACTGCCTGTGGCGGGGATCAGGTTTGGTGCGCTATCGGGACCATATTCTCGGTAGTGGCATACGGGTTAGGGGAGCTGTCGGGGGCTAAGCCGTCCACGGGGGGTGCGGGTTGGGTGCGCTATCCAGGGCATCATACCCCGCGGCTGGGGAATGGTTGGGGGTGCTATCCGCTATCTGGGACTGCATTGCCCATCGTGGGGAGCGGGTTGGGGGCCTTAAGGATCCGTGGCTGCACTATTCACGGCGGGGATCAGGTTGCAGCGCTTCCTGGGGCGTCACTGCCCGCGGCAGGGGGGTTGGTTGCGGGTCCAATCCGTGGCTGCATGGCCCACGGCAGGGGGCAGGTTGGGGGAGTTATCTGGTGCTGCAGCGTCTGAGGCGGGGACGGGTTGGGGGAGCTATTGGGTTCTACGCTGCAGCGGCGAGGGGAGGGTGTTAGGGGCGCCATCCCGGGGCCAACAGCGGGCGGCGGGTTAGGGGCGCTATCGGGGGGGGGGGGGTGCCCTGGAGGACACTCCGGTGGCCGCGAAGTGCCTTTGCCAGCACCCGATCTCCCTTCCGAGGAGAAGCAGTGCGGGCCGCAAGGGCAGACAGGCCCTCCTCCTCAGGCCGGGCTGGCTGCGCGCGTGCGATTCTGGGGCCGCCCAGGCGAGCCCAGTAGAACCGGCGAGCCCAGCAGTGCCCGCCCGCAGCTGCAGCCCCACCTGCCAGCGCGTGCCGCTTCCCAGCGACTTCCGGGAGCCCGGCGGCCACCGCGGTGCAGGCGCGCGCCCAACGGCTTTGCCAGGCTCACTAGGTCTGAGAGGTCGGAGGCTGCGAGTGTCGCTGCTGAAGGCTGTGGTGGACCGGGCTGGATCGCGGATTTTGGAGATCATAGATTTCGGATCGCGGATTGGGGGTTGGATCTCGGATTGGGGGTTGGATCGGGGATTTGGGGTTGGATAGGGGATTTGGGGCTGGGTCGGCGGGGGCGGGGGGTGGTAGTGAAAAGGTGACAGGGAGCTGCACCCTCTCAAGAGCCGGTGGTTGGGGGTCTGAGAAGTCACCACCATGAAGTTGTTCGGCTTCGGGAGCCGCAGGGGCCAGACGGTCCTGGGCTCCATACACCACGTCTACACGGGTTCCGGGTACCGAATCCGGGACTCCGAACTGCAGAAGATCCACAAGGCGGCTGTCAGGGGCGACGCCACGGAGGTGGAGCGCTGTCTGGCGCGCAGAAGCGGAGACCTGGACGCCCTTGGCAAGCAGCAAAGGTAGCGGGGGCTCAGCCCGGGGTGGGAGGGGGTCCCCAGGCGCGGCTTTCCGGCAGCCCCTGGGACGGGGCCTTGCAGGGCGCCGGGCACCCTCTGAGCGGCGGAGCCAAACGGACCCTCAGCTGTTTTCCATCCCTTATAATTCCCTGGCTGGAGCAGTTGGTGGAGAATTTGAGTGATTTAACTCACAAATTTAAGCATATACAGTGTTGTTATTTTTAACGTACACGTTTAAAACATGGTTTATATACATTATAGGAGGTGCCTAATGAGAGAACTCATTTCCCTCTCAAAAATACCGTGAGTTATTTTCAGTAGGTGAAAAGTTCTCAGATAAAACTGTCCGTTTTACATCCGTATCCTCCTGTGTAGGTAGGTTCTTTACTGAAGGTTCTTAGAGAGAAACTTGAAAGGGTGAGGTGGGTTCTGTGTTCTTGAATGGGAAGGCACATTTTCCCCAAAATGTGAGCTCTTTCTGTGTTAATCAATTTTACATAGACCGAATGGAAATATCAAGGTTTTAAGATTTTTGTATGACACCTGCTGTCTTTCGCTATTGTGATGACATTTTAAAAAATTTCATAATGGAGTGAAAAAACACTTGCTCCTCTAGATATCAAAGTGTGCTATTAATTTCTACAATTAATTGTTTACTAACAGCTGAAAAGACAGATAAACGCATGGAACAGAATAGGCAACCCAGAAACACTGAAATTATGTAAGATATACATAAGGATTGATGAGTAGGAAAGGATGAATTATTAATAAAAAAAAGTCTGCTGTTTGAAGAAAACTAATGAAATTTTATGTCACAAACAAAGTTCCTGATGGAATACAGATTGAAATTTTTACATATGCAAATGAGTAAAGTACCAGAAGAAAACACAAACGCTTATTTTGCAGGTACACTTTATGTTGACAAAAGCCTTCCTAAGAATGACCTCATAAGCAGACATTCTGAAGGTTGATTTAGCAAACTAAAAATTAAAACTGCCTGTGTTTCAGAAAAAAAAAAACAACAAAAGAGAACTTACTTGAAAAATATTAACTATATTATATATATATTCAGATGAAAAGTATGTTTTCATTTTATAGGGAATTCATTATATATATATATTTTTTTGAGTCAGAGTCTCACTTCTTTGCCCAGGCTGGTGTCCAATGGCACAATCTTGGCTCACTGCAAACTCTGCCTCGCGGGTTCAAGCAATTCTCCTCGCTCAGCCTCCCAAGTAGCTGGGATTACAGGCAGGTGCCAGCATGCCTGGCTAAGTTTTGTATTTTTAGTAGAGAGGGGTTTCACCATGTTGGCCAGGCTGGTCTCGAACTCCTGAGCTCAAGTGATCTGCCTGCCTCGGCCTCTCAAAGTGCTGGGATTACAGGCATGAGCTACAGTGCCCGGCCTATATTGTTTATTATATATCGTATGATATATATATTACTGATACATATACCATATATATTACAGATATAATCTGTTATATATATATCAGTTATGTATACACATTGGATGAAAAGTTGTATGTATATATACACATTAGATGAAAAGTACATTTTCATTTTACAGGGAATTCTTTCAAATCAAATCATCAAAAACTCTAAAATTGGGCAAAGTACTTTTTTCCAGATCTACAAGTTACTTGTGTATGTAGGAAAAAGTCCTTCACTTTTCTGGTATAAGAATTTAAATTAAAAGAGGAATGAAACAGTTTTCTATCCACAATATTTGTGAGGATGTTTTACACTCCTGCTTAAAGTCTAAGTTGCTGATTACTTTTCAAATAGGTAATTCGGTGGTAAGTACTACATTTAAAAAATATGTATGCCCTTTACCCATCAATTCCGTTATACCAAAACACACTTAGGAAATAAAGATACATGCACTTTATTTTTTGCAACACTTATTTTAAAAAGAACCCATAGAATGGATCCTATAAATAAATTTCAGTTGCATCCCTAGGATGGAATAATATGTGACCATTGAAGGTTGCAATAGATACAGAAGTACATTGATGTGCGAAGATGTATTTTGTTATAGCTAGCGAGGAAAAAAAATCAGTTAAATTATACATACACACAAATATACTATGGTCTTGTTTTAGCAAAAAATATGTACAAAATATAAAATTTGTGATTTCTGAGCAATTGTATTTTAAGTAAAGTTCCTTTCCTTTTTCTTATCTGTGATTGCTGCAGTGAGCATGTACAAAACTTCTAGTAAAGTTTATTAATAAAGGAATAATCCTTGGGAAGAGAGGAATATGAATCTTACAATATTAAAAATAATTTCTCGCTTTCTATTTTTTATCATTATTTTGTGTATTGTTATCTTCTTTGAACTTCTAGCCTCTTCAGAAGTAAAAAGGGAATGTTTTTATCTGTTTCCAGATTTTATTATCTGTATATGTTATTATGTACATGTTTTTCTTATATATTCACTCAATTTATGCAAACAATGATAGATTAGTAATTTCATTTTAATTGTATTCTTTAAAAATAAAAATAACATATAAATAATTACTATTGCAAAAATATTGCTTTATAGGAGTTTATTTAAAAATATCGATCTCCCCAACTGTATTTATCCATTCTTCCATTCCATTTATTCATCAAACATAACTTGAGTACCTGTTATGTAGCAGACATATTCTACTATCTCTCAGGACGCTTCTATCCTTAAAAACTTCATGTTTACCTGCCCTGCCTGCACAAGCTGAGAGATTTAAAATAGGAATATTGGGACTTAATCTCCTTGAAACTTTGTGTCCCACTTTTCAAACAAAAGCATTTCTGAACTTAGAAAATAGTAGAAGATAACCTTTAACTGCTCTTTGAAAAGTTTATCAGTCTTAAATACTAATATTAATCATTGGAAAGTGTTATTTGCATATATTCTGTAAGTATTATAAGTATTGAATAAAATGAACCATATGTATTCATTTGAATCATGAGTTTCCTTTGGCTTCAATTTGTTTGAAAATGAAGGAATTAATTTTTTAAAAAAATGCATTGTTATTTCAGTGCTCTTTCCCCATAGTACCTTTAAGAACTAAAATGTATTTGAGTGCCAATTATATGCCTAGAACTGCCCTAGACCTGCTGAGTATACCATATTCTACTTAATGTAAGGTCTCATGGATTGTGTGATACCCCGCTATTTTATATATCAATAAGATAGTTTTAAAAATGCTACCAATTATAGTTATAATAATATAAGTGGCATTCCAATGTCAGAGGTATTAAAATGTGACCTACTCTTTAAGCCATCCTGCAAAGTAGGTATAATTGTATCTTTTACCTAATTAAAATTTTTTTGTTAAATAGTAGTAATAGTAACAATTATAATATCTGGCTGGGTGCAGTGACTCACACCTGTAATCCCAGAACTTTGGGAGGCTGAGGTGAGAGGATTGCTTGATGCCAGGAGTTTGAGACCATCCTGGGCAACAAAGTGAGATTCTTACTCTACAAAAATTTTTAAATAAATAGCTGGGCATGCTGGTGTGCATCTGTAATCCCAGCTACTCAGGAGGCTGGGGATGGAGGATCGCTTGAGCCCAGGAGTTCCAGGCTGCAGTGAGCTATAGTTGCATCATTGCACTCCAGCCTGGGCAAAAGAGTGAGACTTTGTCTCAAAAAACAAAAATCTTACAATTATTGAGTTGTTGTAGGAACTATTCTAAATACATAGCTTCTCATTTAAGCATCACAGTGGTGTCCTATGAGATAGCTACTATTGTCATCTTCATTAATGAGGAAGTTGAGGCACAGAAAGGCTAAGAAATAGTTGGTGACAGGATTTAAAGTAGGACTCAAATCCTAATTGAACTGAATCCAAAGACTGAGCTCTTTCTATTCAGATAGGCTGCTGTTTTCATTAAGGCAGTGAGCAATAAGAGCTAGTAAGTATTGTACTTTCTTCAAAAAAATAAGTATTTGTTTTGAAGGCAGAGGAGAAACATGCTCTTCAATTTTTACAGTTACATGAATGATTGTATGTTTTGAGATGTTGCACTACAGTTTCCTAAGAAGTCCTCTTACTCTCGTAGAACTGCTCTACATTTGGCCTGTGCCAGCGGCCATGTGAAAGTGGTCACTCTCCTGGTTAGCAGAAAATGCCAGATTGATATCTGTGACAAAGAAAATAGAACGCCTTTGATACAGGTATATTAGAGCCAACTCTTTTAGCATGACTTGGATTTGATTTGCATACATAGAATTAAAATAAATTGATCTCATTTAAATATAACTAGTTGGTGAAACCTGTGGAATGTGTATTTTGAATTTCTTAGAGTTTACAATCTATTTCTTGGTCTAATACGGACAGGCTGTCCATTGCCAGGAAGAGGCTTGTGCCGTTATTCTGCTGGAACATGGCGCCAATCCAAACCTTAAGGATATCTACCGCAACACTGCTCTCCATTATGCCACGTATAGTGAGAGCACCTCACTGGCAGAAAAACTGCTTTCCCATGATGCAGATATTGAAGCACTGGACAAGGTATAGATCAATCAATTTTCTTCTCAAAATATTTGTTTTAACATTCACGTAGGTAAGGATCAATTTTTTATATTTGGAAGCTCAACCATTCCCTGAATGCAAATGCAAATTATTTTGAAATAATTGTCTAAGATTTTATTTTAAATATTGATACTTTTAAAGGAGCATTAAAGGGTACAGCTTTATAAAATGCACTTTGGAAAATATTTGTGAATTTGTTAAAGGTAAAACCTTTTCAACTTTTTTTCTGTGGAGGGTTATTCTTTCCTTCCCTGCCCCCCCCCCCCCCCCCCCCCACCAATTAGTGTAAAACAACACAGGAAAGAAATTATGCCCTGGAAATAGGCTTTATCTTAAAACTCAAACAAAACTAAAGCAACTTACAATAAGTGGACATGTTGCTGCTGCTGCTAACTTTCTGAAAAACTGATGTATCATCTCTCAGTGGCACAAGAAGGCTTAAGAGGGGAAAATGGGAAGGGAAAAGGAGAGCAATCAGAAATATGCAGGTCACTTGGAAATTAGGTAATGAGGGAAAATGCCAAGAAGAGTTTTTTTTTTTTTCTCTTAGTTTGTTGTTCTTCCAGTTTATGTGTTGAGACAAGGTGCTCTTTAGCTTTGGGTCTAATAATTTTTGGTTTGAAAATGAGAGTGAGTTGAAACTTGCCTAGAGATTAATTTTAGGAGGACTCTGAGGAAACTAGATTGGCAGTGAATATGTGGTGATGAGGTGAGAAAAACTTCAGCAGAAGGTGGAACAAATTATTAACTGACTTATTGTCCATCCTGGCAGAAACAGCCACTTAGATAAGAGTCTAAAGACTCCTCTCAAACCTAGAATGTCTTGGTGGGAAGGTGGGAGATAAGGAGCTTATAAATAGCAAAATCAAGTGGGATTTTGAGTTTACTTGTCTCTTTTCTACCCATACCCAGGAAACTTAACTGGAGCTTTAATAAATGACACTATCTCTTACTCTTTTCTCTTTTTGGCCACATGTCCAACTGATAAAGGGAATTAGCCATGTGGGTGAGAGATGAGACTGAAGTGATTGCTGCACTAATTCTCAGAATTGTGCATTACAGTGACCTGAGGACATTTTGTTAAAAATCCACAATTGTAGGCTTTCCCCTGAGGATTTTGATGTAATACACCTAATAAGGTCTGAATATTTTTAAAAACGTTTTCTTGAAGCTAGGCACAGTGACATGTTCCTGTAGTCCCAGCTTGAGCCTGAGTTTGAGTTCAGCTTGAGCAACATAGTGAGACTTGCCTCTAACAACAATAACAGCAAAAAAATAAACAAAAAAACCCCTCAAGGTTTGGATACACTCCTGATTAAGAACCCCAGAATAGATAATTGCAACCTATAAATTTCTGTATCTCAGAAACATAAGAAATCTCTAGAAGAATTGACGTTTGATAGGTGCTACTTCAAAGTTCTCCTTTTCAGTAATATTAGCCTGACTTATCTGTCTTTCTCTACGTCTGTGACTGGGAAGTGAAAGGAAATATTATTGGCAATATCTCTCAGCTTACAGAATAACACCTTTTCCTTCCCACAATTAATCATTCACTACCATTCAGAGTCTTTAGAAATTTGCTTATGGGTAATCTTTCAATAGGTAGAGGCTGATCCTTTCATGATTTGATGTCCCTTTGTCACCATGCAGGTGATTATGTGTCAACAAATGTTCATTACAAGTTGGGCTTTCTCAATTAGAATAGTAGCAAATCCTAAACTATTTTTTTTAGTTGAAGTTGTATTATGAACTAGCTCAGTATGTTTGCTAAGTTTATAGAGCTTTAGCATAACCAAAATGTCAGTTTTAAACACTGAAGTCCATGGAGTTAATAAAAATACAGATATGAATTCTTTTAATAATTTAGTTTTAGCAGTCCTATGAACCAATTATCTATTTGGTTAACAATCTGGGAAAATTATATACAAATATATTTTAAATGAATAAATGTTGGAAAAATTCTCGAAGCAGGTATTATGAGTCTTTTTTTTTTAGCAATTTTTATTATATATGAGAGTCTGATTTTTTGGTAAAACATGATACTAGAGAAAGAAAATATTTTACATGCAAATACTTGGATTATACACAACCATTTAGTAACACTTTAATAGCGAATATAAAAACACAAGGGCTATATTCTAATGTGGTACACAGATTTGTTTGTTTGCCTCTGTAAGTTGAATCAACATGTAAAATTTAGAAGACTGGTGTAGATATCTGGACTTCAGGCTTATTCAAAAAAATCAAATCTGGTGTCCCCTGAGTTTCTATCACTGTTTGGTCTGTTGTGCAGAGGTTGCCCCTTTAGAGAAGGCAGGTATTCTCCAGTTTGCTGCTGTGCCCACCTTAGTACTTCCTTTACTCAGGCAACCTTCCTTTGTCCTTGTAAGTATTTGAGTTTACAACTCCTATGTTATAGTATATTTCGATAAAGATTTCAAGGTTTTTAAGTCAGCACGTATTTGTTATATAGTCTATAGAGTATATAAATCCCTCAGTTATGGAGTTGAATTTTAGAATTTAGAAGTTTTTGAAACTCTTTTCTTTATATATACCACAAATAATTATCTGCCCATAAGAATGCCTAGAAGCCTTTTTAGGTTATTCCTGGTTATAGTTGGATAATTTATGAATATTGCAGACATTACATCTTTCTCCTCAGTGCTCTTCCTTAGAAATGCAAGTGACTTACTGGCTTTTATTATGCGAGAAATAATTCATATGGATCAGTATGAGAATTTTTTTGATAAGCCATTATGTTTTTATTTCGGATTTATATTTTGTCTAAAATAAAAAATAATTTTAAGTAGCCCTTTAAGTGGAAGCCAATAAAAATGGATTTAAAAAGTAGAGCTGCCCTGGGGTCCCGGGATTACCATTATAATTGAGAATAGTATTTCTTACTGAGCTTTGGTTTTTTAAATATTTGTTCTTAAGTTTTTTAAACCTATTTCTCTTACACAGAACATACTGAGCTTTCAAACAGTAAAGATAAAAATCTATTCTCTTGTATTAGGGAAAAAACCCATGGACTATTTAATAATAAGGAAAATAAGTGCATTTGAAGCCAATCTCTCTTAATTCAAAGCTCATTTCCATAGTGACCCATTTGGAGCAGGAGTGCCTGACATTCGCATCTGGGATCCTGACACCATTGATAGAAGTGAATCAGGCAAGTTTGTACCACCCAGAAAAAACCTCCACCTGCATTGGGAAGCTCTGGCAACTGTACCCCTAAAACTCTTAATTCCTCAAATGTTAATGTTTGCCACAAATAGTATTGTCAAATGGGGATTAGGTAAAATTCAAGAGATTTCTTGATTATTGGACATAACATACAGTTTTATAATACTTCTCAAATGCAGATGGTCATGGAGTCTTTCTCTTGGGGTATAATACTTCTGGTAAGGCAAATATTCTTTGGAATATAGTTTAAGAAACACTGCTTTAGTGAGAATAATTTAGATCATTAATTTATGTAAAAAACTTAAAATGTTTGCTACTGTGTCTTAGGGTTTTGGGGCTATAGAGACAAAAGATACAGCCCTTGCCTCAAGAAGCTCTTGGTTTCAGTGGGACACAGTGAAATGATTACAATGTACCATGCTAAGTGCTGTGATCAAAGCAAGGATTCTTGGGACTGGTAAATGTTTAAAGTGAGTTTTGGCAATGACCACAGTTAATCCGGGGAGACAGAGGAGGGTTGTTTGCAAGGCAAAAAGCAGCACATCAGAAAGCACAGAGGAGTGAGAAGGAAGGGACTGCTTTTCATTTACTTCCTTTGTATATTGTATGTTGAAGTTCAAAGCACCTTAGAGAAGATTTTCAGTTCAGTTGAGAAATATGTAATTTTGTGAATTATTAATTTTTCCTGCTGTTTTATAGGACAATAATACCCCACTTTTATTCGCTATAATTTGCAAGAAAGAGAAAATGGTGGAATTTTTATTGAAAAACAAAGCAAGTACACATGCCGTTGATAGCCTGAGATGGTACAGTAGTTCTTTTTAAATGAAACCTGAGTATTCTAGAGTGGTAACAGTCACTCAAGTCAGAAATACTAATAAGAAGATTAATGTAATTATTGGCATGTAGTGAAAAATGTCACCATGAATAATCAGATAGATCAGCAAATATTTAGACTGAGTAACATAAAGAACAGTATATAGTAGGATTCATCTTCTCCTATAATACAGAGTGTTTGTTATTTATAATTGGATGTTTTTGGTACTGTAATCTTTTATTAGCTAAAGGGTTTTGTATTAGCTTTATTAAGTTTTTTTTGAGATGCAGTCTGGCTCTGTTGCCAGGCTGGAGTACAGTGGTGTGATCTTGGCTCACTGCAACCTCCACCTCTCAGGCTCAAGCGATTCTCCTGCCTCAGCCTTCCAAGTAGCTGGGACTACAGGCGCGCACCGCCATGCCCAGCTAATTTTTGTATTTTTAGTAGAGATGGGATTTCACCATGTTGGCCAGGATGGTCTCGATCTCTTGACCTTGTGATCTGCTCTCCTTGGCTCCTCAAAGTGCTGGGATTACAGGCATGAGCCCCTGCACCTGGCCAGTTTTATTAATTTTTAAAGTGTGGACTTTTAGTTTATGACTACTAGTATTATCATCATCATCATTATTGTTGTTGTTGTTTTCAGTCTGCAGATAGCTCTTATCTGACCCCTAGCTGATATAAATTACAATATATCAGACTAGGAAAGCAATGGGGAAATCTTCATCTAAATCTTTACCTGCTTTAGATAAGTGACCTCAGCACAGTTTCTTGGCCATCAAAGGACTATGAGTTAGCAACTTGTATTATGTCATACCCCAGTGGGACAGGAGGCTTCCTTATTGTCCTTTTCTTTTAGACTTGGTGACAATTTATAAAGATGAACACCTGAGCACCCTAGATGCTTATAGACCCAAGCTAGTACATGCAAAATGTTATTATGTCTACACTGACAGGTGGATATTAAATTGGTAAAGTGTATCAAACTAGCTGTTTAAAAAAGTCTTTATTAAAGTTCTTGAGTGGAGTGATTTCCTTGTTATTTTAGAACAGCCCTTATGCTTGCTGTGCACTATGACTCACCGGGTATTGTCAACATCCTTCTTAAACAAAATATTAATGTCTTTACTCAAGACGTGTGGACAAGATGCAGAAGATTACGCTATTTCTCGCTGTTTGACAAAGTAAGTGTTTATGTTAAAAGGCCAGTTAATATTGAATTGAAGTTTAAAATAATTGCAACTATTCCATCTTATACATTAGGTGAGAGTTCCTAGTTTTGTTCAGATGGTTTGAAATAGCAATGAGTTAGTCTACCTTTTAGCCAGAAATCAAGCAGAAGTCTAGATTAGTTAGAAGTAGAGTGCAAGATGTTTTCAGGATTTTTAAGACCTTTATCCCTAGGGATCTCAATGTTGTTCATTTTATTCTAAGTATAATCCCCATGCATGGGATAAAAAGAGCCACATTTTTTACTTCTTTTCCTTTCTTTTCTTTTTTTTTTTTTTTCCTTGAAACAAGGTCTCTGTTGCCCTGGCTGGTCTTGAACTCCTGAGCTCAAGTAATCCACCTGCCTCGGCCTCTCACAGTGCTAGCCACCGTGCCTGGCCTGACTTTTCTAATTAGTTATTGGGTCTTGAAATGTCCAATTTAGCAGAAAATCTTGTATTTTCCCGTGGGGCTATCTCCTGTGTCTTCCTTCTTTGAATTTTCCAAGAAGCTAAGGGGTTTCCTAAGTCCAAGGAAGGCAATCTTTCTTTACAAGTCAGAAGAAGGGGGAAAAAGGCCATTCTGATCTTTCTGTTGTTTCCATGGTCTCACTTCCTGTATTGTTGCCATTGTAACCAGTCCTGCAATCTGATAATGATTGACCTTTGCCACCAGGATGCCTTCACTCATTCAGACCCCTCAGTTTTTGTGGTGATTCACACATAGAGTTCAAAGCTACGGTGTTTATTAATTTATGTACTTATGCTCAGTCGTTGTTCCCAGCACCCTGATCTGGCAGCTAGGCCTCCTAGCTTTACCCACACAAATGTCGAGCAAGTTGATCCTCACCCTACAGTAAAAACCTTATTTGGAGCCCACATCTTAGCTAGACTTAGCCTAGGCATTCATGGTAAGTTATCCTTTGAGACCCGTGTTTGTCTGTTCTTTAACCAATATTAGTTGGGATTGCTCTCAACAGTCAGGGATGTTAAAATCATGTTGCAGGAAGAGATTAGGGTTCCCTTTCCCTTTTGCTATCAGATCTGTACCTTGAGGCCTTTTTACATCCTGTGGAGCAGCTTTTGTTAGATAGCAGAAGGTTCCATGTTATCTTTCCACCGAGTAGTGGGAACCAACTTGCAATTGGCCCCTCAATTAATGTGTCTCTATGATAATGAAAATCTCCTGGGCTAATCACAACTCTTCCAGGAGTTTTAAATGTATTTTAAAATTCTACCTCACAGGAAGCCATTCAATAAAATTCTCTGAATCTAAAGTCAGTGAGTTAGATTTAACAGAGCTAAGCCTCATCCATAACTCATGAGTATCCATTTATCAAACAGGGCTTTGTACTTGTTTCAGCAGCACATATTTTAAAATTGGATCAATACAGAGCAGGTAAGCATGGCTGCTGCCTAGGGATGGCACACAAATTCAGAAAGCATTCCATATTTTGCATAGTCCCGGGAAGGTCATTTGACTATTTGTTGAGTAGCTCCAAGGAAGCAGTGTGAGTGAAACCAAAACAGAAGACACCCAATATTGAAATTGTGATTATCACTATAAAACTATTGATGTAAGGTGATCTCTGAAATGAGAACAGAGCTGAGTAATAAGGGGATGTTACTTGTTGCTAGTACATGTCTTGGAAATGACAAAATGTCAACTTGCATTTCCTTCATGGAAGTGAAAAACAATAAAAGCAGGGTTTTGTCTCATCTGTTAGTTGGAGAGGACCATGGAGATCCAGCGTCCTAGCACAGATCTGCTGGCTCAGAGTTTGAGGAGGTAGAGAAGGAGAGGTAGTTGTCCAAGCCCAGGTTTTGACACCTATTAGTTTTCTGCCTTTGGTGTGATTGATGAGCTCAGTGATGGGAGACAATTAGGTAATCTATTTTAATCAGATTAGTTATGAATTAGGTAAAATGCCCTGAATTACAAGCCACAAAGAATACAACTTAATAACCAAAATTAGCACTTAATAACATTTTCTGAAAACTGCAACAATTGAATATTAGAACTTATAGAAAAACACACACCAAGCAATAAAGTTCAAGAATAAATCATTCCATTGCTTTACTATTTCCTGAACATTTAAACATGTAATCTTATTACATCTTCCTAACAACCTACTGAAGTAAGGTAGCAAAATCCTTATTTTTTAGAAGAAACCAGGGAGCCTAAGAGAAGCAACTTGTCTGAAAACAAAATATCTATTACAGAGTGAGGATTTATTCTGAGTGCAGGACATGTTACATGATGTCCAGCTAACTAGAGTTCATTTACTGAGCTATGCTTCCTCCATTTATGAGTACTTCACTTTTTTTCTTCTTTAATTATAAGCTTAATAAGCTTGTAAGGTTTAAAAATTTGAAGTATATGGGATATTAAAATTCTGATATTAGGTCTGATATTGCCTGAAATGGTTTTAGAATTTAATATGTTTGGTAAATATTTTTTATTTCAGTATTAAAATAGCAATTTTATTTATTACTTTTGTATACGTAGAATTCAACAACAAATTTTGGAACATAAAAAGATGATACTTAAAAATGACAAACCAGGTAAGACTTCTGATAGTGAATTTCTTATTTCTCTTGGTGTTCCTACTCTTGATTAGAAAGTAAAAAGTAAGATGTAAGATTAAGGTAGTGTTAATAAAAAAAGACCAGTTTAAAAATATATGTAAATTAAATGTGCATATATGTATATACATATGTAAATTAATTTTTAAAATTTAACTTCTTTAGTTTGAAATTCAGATTTATTTAAGAAGGTAGTTGTAGCTAACTTATAATCTCAAACATGATTGTCTGAAAAAATTCCTTTATTTAATTATGATCCCTAAAATCCTATGTAATATTTTTGCGTAAATAAGAAAAAAGACTTTTAAGTTAGTATGTTGTATGTTTCCTCTATAGTCACATTATAACAAATTGGACTTGTTATACAAATGGATCTTCTATTTCATTTTTATAATAAATTGTTTATATTTAGTAAACAAATAATTACAGTTGACCCATGAATAATGTGGGGGTGAGGTATTCTGATCCCTGTGCAGTTGAAAATCTGAGTATAACTTTTGATTCCTTCACCTTAGCTACTAATAGCCCACCATTGACTGGGAGCCTTCCTGATAACATAAACAGTTGGTGGACACCTATTTTGTTTGTGCTGCATTATTATATACTGTGTTCTTGCAATAAAGTAAGCTAGAGAAATGAAGCGGTTAGAAAGAAAATCATCAGGAATGATATATTGACTTTTCATAAAGCATTAAGTAGATCCTGACAAAGGTCTTCAAGATCTTCAGGTTGATTAGGCTGAGGAGGAAGAGGAGAGGTGGATCTTGCTGTCTCTGGGTTGCAGAGGCAGAAGAACATCTGCATATAAGTGAGTCGCTGCAGTTGAAACCCTTGCTGTTGAAGGGTGAACTGTATTACATATTGATTTGTGTCACTAAGAAAGTAACTATCTTTAGAACCAGGAACTCAGCAATTCCTTTCTGGTACCATAAATAAATGGCAATAAGAACTGTAAAACTGAACCAGCATGCACCCATACAAATAAGAGATTATTTTTTGAGGATAGCTACTGAGCACAGAAGACAGAAAAGCAATTCCTTCATGAGAAGCACAAGTTATATTACATATTCTTACACAAGCAAAATGGTTTTATCTGTCATAGTTTATACACATACACATACACACATGCACATATACACATACATATGTGCGCACGCATGTGCACACAGACACCAAGTTAAAAGTCCTGCTGATTCTTAATGACCAAATCCAACTGTTCGCGGGGAGTGGTGGATAACACATTCTACAGTTTGGATGCAATTCTTTTGACTTTTTGACTTGTTCTGTAATGAACTGCCTTTAATGGGTGAATCATGTTTTTAGTTTTATAAGAAACAAAGAAAAAGATTAGAAGCAAGTAAACAGAAACTCTATGATCAGTAGTAGACTATTATAGTATATTCAATAGTCATATGTTTTTCTCCAGTTATACAATTTACTTGAATGATGCACAATTAATCAATTATTATTATTATAGGAGATGGGGTCTCTCTATGTTGCCTAGGCTAGAATAAAGTGTCTATTCATTGGTGCAAACATAGCTCACTGTAGCCTTGAACTCCTGGGCTCAAGCAGTCCTCCTACCTCATCTTCCTGAGTAGCTGGGACTACAGTTTTGTATGGTTATATCTGGCCTGATACACAATTGTTTATTTATTTATTTTTGATACAGTGTTTCCCTCTGTTGCTCTGCACTGGAGTGCAGTGGTGCCATCTTGGCTCACTGCAACTTCTGCTTCCTGGCCTTAAATGATCCTTTCACCTTTCACCTTAGCCTCCCAAGTAGCTGGGACCCCAGGCATGCACCACCACACTTGGCTAATTTTCTTTTTAAGGTTTTTTTTGTTTTTTGTTTTTTTTTGTTTAATAGATGAGGTCTCACTATATTGCCAGGCTGGTCTGGAACTTCTGGGTTCAAGTGATCCTCCTGCCTCAGCCTCCCAAAATGCTGGGATTTACAAGTGTGAGCCACTGCACCTGACCTGCACAATTATTATAAAAAGGAATTAAGCCCAGTTGAGTTGCAGAAAATTGACCACCTTTTCATTATTTTTTCTAGAAACATTCATATTGTACAACATATTGTCAATCACCCAGATTCTCTGTTTTTTATTCAGTTAAAATAGGATTGCTGCTTATTCCACATTATTTTCTGATATTATTGTGTCATTTATTCCTTTTATGGCTTTATTCCTGTGGATAGATATAGAAATACAAGAATCTCCAAGTCAAATATCAAGGGAAAAAAAGAAAAGAAAAACAGTTTAGGGAAAATTATTCTGTGAAATAGCCATCTGATTACAGTTACATATATCATATCAACTTAATACAAATCTTACACAATGTATTTGTGTCAAGGTTTCCCAAGACCACCCCAGGTTTGATGGTTCACTAGAAGGACTCACAGGACTCAGCAAATAGTCATACTCAGATCTTTAATTGATTACAAGAAAGGGGACAAGCAAAATTAGTAGAGGAAAAAGGTGCTTGTGGTCAATTCTGGAGGAAACCAGGCTCAAGCCTCCAGGAGTTCTCTCCTGTGGAGTGCCCGGGATCTGCTTAATTCTCCCAGGCCCACATTTTGACAACATATGTGCAGTGATGTCTACCAGTACCAGAGTCTCATTAGAGACGAAGTATCCAAGTTTTTCTGTGGAAATTACTCTGCCTTACATGTACCCAAATTCCAGACTCGTACAAGGAAAGCAGATGTTCAGAGTAACCACACTGTTTCTATAAACACTTTAGACACAGTGAGCCACTCTTCTCAGGGAATGGTGGAAACCCTCCCAATTCCAATTTCCTTAACACCAGCCAAGGGCCAGCCTTGCATGCAGGCCTTTCTAAGGATGGCAGTCTCTTGCCTGCTATATGAAATCTTTTCTGCACAACGCTTATAGCCCCAATTTAATTTTTGGGTTTGTTTTAAAATTTCATTTTAATAAGACATAATATTATAAGATAAGGTAACTTGGTACTAATTTCTGTTGTATGATCCATCTTAAGTTGCAATGCTGGTTACTTTTTGACTTTTGGTGACTAACAGGTATTTGTATATAAGTTACCATAGCAATGTTAGGTAATTATAATCTGTCCTTTTTATCTCATTAAGCTTTCAGTAGAATTGTTAAATTAAATAAGCATAATAATTTTTGAGTTAAAATTAGAATAAAAATTGTATTTTATTTTGATTACATGAATAATCTAGTTTTCATATTGTGCTAAATCCCTGTTTAGAATTATGAAATAAGATATTCAATCATTTTTAACAATATTTTCTTACCTAAGCATGCAATTAAATTTATTTATTTTATATATTTCATATACTTCAATTTGAGAAATATAATGACCACATGCTGTCACTTTGGTCTTCAATGATCTCCAATTTCTAGGGTCACTGTCTCTTGCTTAAATATATCATCATAACAGGTTCAGTGAATATCTTTATTTTTTATTTATTTATTAATTTTTTTGCGACAGAGTTTTGCTCTGTTGCCCAGGCTGCAGTGCAATGACAGAATCTTGGCTCACTGACACCTCCACCTCCCGGGTTCAAGCAATTCTCCTGCCTCAGCCTCCCAAGTACCTGGGACTACAGGCATGCACCACCATGCCCGGCTAATCTTTTGTATTTAGTAGAGACGGGGTTTCATCATGTTAGTCAGGCTGGTCTGGAACTCCTGACCTCAGGTGATCCACCCACCTTGGCCTCCCAAAGTGCTAGGATTACAGGCATGAGCCACTGCGCCCGGCCATATTTTTTTTATTATTTTAATTATTCTGGAGATCCTGGGATGCATAAACAGTGAATATCTTTTTTTTTTTTTTTCTTTGAGATGGAGTTTCACTGTCTCCCAGGCTGGAGTGCAGTGGTGCGATTTTGGTTAACCACAATCTCCGCCTTCTAGGCTCAAGTGATTCTCCTGCCTCAGCCTCCCAAGTAGCTGAAATTACAGGTGCCTGCCACCTTGCCCAGCTAATTTTTGTATTTAGTAGAGGTGAGGTTTTGCCATGTTGGCCAGGCTGGTCTTGAACTGCTGACCTCAGGTGATCCACCCGCCTATGCCTCCCAAAGTGCTGAGGTTACAGTCATGAGCCACTGAGCCCTGCTGTGAATATCTTTTTTAAATCAATAACTTTATTTCTTAGAGCAGTTTTAGGTTCACAGCAAAATTGAGAGGAAGGTACAGAGATTTCTTGTATATTCCATGCCTCCAACACATGCATAGCCTCCCCCATTATTAGTATTTTCCACCAGAGTGTGGTACATTTGTTACAACTGATGAACTTACATTGACACATTATAATCACTCAAAGTTCATAGTTTACATCAGGCTTCACTCTTGATGCTGTACATTCTGTGAATTTGGACAAATGTATAATGACATGACATGTATCTATTACTGTTATATTATTGACAGAACAGTTTCACTGCCCTAAAAATTCTCTATGCTATGCCTGTTCATCTCTCCCTTTCTCCCTAGCAACTTGTGGCAGCCATTGATCTTTACTCTGTCTTCATAGTTTTACTTTTTTCAGAAGAGTCATATAGTTGGAATAATACTGTGGATATCTTTTTGAATAGTTAAAAAAATCAAAGCTCCATGGCAATTGAAGGTAGTCATTTAAGATGTTCTTTGTCCTTTTGTTTTTCTTTTGCTTTTTTATCATTGTAAAGAATGATATATGCTGATGAGGTATGCTTTACATACTTAGAAAACATGATTTGTATAGATATTTGGCACATAATGGAAAGGGTTGAGGAAAAGGACACCACGCCGTACCACACAGCACAACCTGGAGCATCTTGCTCTGTGAGGTGGGTCCAGATACACTGTCTAGCAATGGAAGGGGGCAAGCGCAAGGGGTTGTACTTTATAAAACTGGAATCACAAAGTCTTTCATACTTACCTTCGGTTGGAAATAAGACCAGGCAGTGAATGCTATAGGTAAATACATATGTTCCTCACTGATCCTCTTCCTTTGAGGGATGAGGTTGACAACAGCCTGTGTTATGATGACATGACTCACCTACAACTAGATTCTGTTATGAGGGATGGCAAGGGAGTTTTGCTTTATGTGAGGTGAAAAAGAATTTTTTTCTCCTACTAGGGAGAACAGCAAGCATTGGCACATTCTGGTAGTAAAAGGGCATTGATAGTTTTCTTTCTATATATTTTTCACATCAGATAATACTGCCCAGCAGCCTGCCACACCTCCCCAGTGTTTCTTAAGCTTCTCTCTGAATGTGGATAAGCTCTTAAAGGAGTGATCTTTCCAGTGGTTCTTTCTGTGGGAGGTAAAATGGCAGGTGAACATGGGCCTTGTTATATGTAGGGCAGAGCAAATAGCTACAACTAAGGAAACCACCCAGCACCTTCCCCAGAAGAGTATTAGCCAGAGTAACACAGTGGTCTCTCTCGAGCTCTTCTCCACTGGCAGCTGCAAAGTTTTTGCAAGGATTCCTGTTTCTGGTCTGATTACTATGTTTTGCTGGCTTCTGGTGATAGGGTGTTTTATCCTAAACTGAACAGTTTGAACTGAAGAGCTAGAGAGGCTGTGTTGTGTTATAACAAAATAAGTGCAGTAGTTCCCCCTTAATTGTGGGAGATACATTCCAAGACCCCCAGTGGATGCAAGAAACCATGAATAGTACTGAATCACAAACTGTTTTTTCTATACATACATATCTATGATAAAGTTTAATTTATAAATTAAATCTGATGTAATCTGAAGATAGGGTGTGAGAATTGAATCGTGCCATCAGCAGGAATGATTGCTTGCTTTTTGGTGGGGAAAAACTCTCCACACATTTGGTCACAGAAGCCTTCTTTGTTGATGATTGTTGCTGTGGCGTGAGAGCAGAGAAAAACATGTCAAGTATGTCTTTCCGCACATACAGTGGATAAGGGGTACTACTGTATCCTCTAACTGCTCCTCATATTTTGGTCCAGAAATCATGCTCTTTGACACTGTTGACTCATCACACCTGTTCTGCTAACAATACCATTTTTACTCAATCTCATAGGGTTTGGCTAGGATGACTTGTATACTGCAGTTCACTTGTAGATACCAAATTTTAATAAATTTATTCTTCTTTACATCTAATAAATACAAAGGGAAGAGTTCTTACTGCATTAATTACCTACCAATAGGTACAATTAATGTTAATTCTAATAAGGTCCCAGGCATGCTCCCAAAGGAATTCTTTGTAACAAAGCATCAGTCTTATGCTTTTAAAAAACAAACCAAAACAAAACCACCACCACCACCAACAACAAAAACAGGATCTAAAGCATACACACAAGTGTGCACAACTTTTTTTATGAAGGTAGTGTCTTACTATGTTTCCCAAGCTGTTCTCAAACTTCTAGATTCCTCAAGTGATCCTCCTGCCTCATCCTCCCGAGTAGTTTGGATTGCAGGCATGCATCACTGTGCATTCTTATGCTTTTAATATTCTGTACATTTATTATTGATTTAAAATGCATTCTACCTTTTTCTTTAATAGATGTTGGAAGTTCTGATGAATCTGCAGTCAGGTAGGATTTTATAGATTTAAAGAATTATGTTAACTAAGAAAACATAGATGGAAGAAACTAGTATCTGTTGAGTGTTATATTCTGGGCTAGACATCCTAATATGTTCTATGCATTTATCATCTCATAAAGCCATCACAACATCTGTGTTCCTATAACCTACTGTTTATTAAATAAACAACTATGGATTAGAGCAGTTGATTAATTGCCTTATAATCTCATAGTTAACAAAGTAGCTGGCCTACAGTTGGACCGTCAGCCTGCCTGGCTTCCAAATCCCTTCTCTTGCTCCTCAGCATAGATTGATAGACATCCATGCAGCACTTGGATCAAGGTATAGGTCTGAATCAGATTAATCAGATTCATTAATTTAATTAATGTCTAAATTAATGAGAGTTTAAATACCTTAAATACCTTAAACTCTCATTTAAGGTTATTGTTAGAATGTGGTTAGTGGAAGAGATTGTCCAGATAAATTTGACAATTTCAGTGGTAACCAGTATCTTATTTTTACCATCAAAGGCTTTAGGGCAAATCTTACTTAGCTTTGGCCATAGGACTGTAAGTTTTACAAAAGCAAGTTTAGGCAAGTCTTAGAGAGAAATCATTTGACTTCCCAGTTTGGTTTTCCATTTAGGCAAGTATTTCTGCTACTTCCATAATACTTTTGTTAGTCTTGTTTCTTTTTCCATGACTTTTCTATAATCTTGTCTTGATTTTTTAGAACTTTCTTCTCTGCTTTTCTTGCTGTTTCTTTTGTTCTATTATTTTTTAAAATTCTGCTGGGTATGTATTCCCAGTTTTCCTATAGACAGAATCAAGAGGACATAGAATTACAGAATTTTAAGGAATCTTAGAATTAATTAAAATACTTTCTAGTATTTTTACCTGTATTGAACATTCTGGTCAAGTGATTCTCAGAGAATGTGAGGCTCAAAGAGATTAGGATGCTTTTTTTTTAGACATAGGAATTGGCAGAAATGAGATTTGAACTCATTTTGAGGCCCAGTACTCTTCCTTCTTTTTATATCCTATTTGCATGTGCTTTAATAATACAAATGGGAGTGAGTCTGGTGCACCCAGTGGATAGTATGAGAATGGAATTAGCTGGTGAACCCAATGGAAGTAGATAAAAATGGAATGAGCAGGGGAAGGCCAAGTTTGAAGAGAAACAACACTGGATTGGATAGGAGTATGGACTCTTCAATAAGAGATCAAAATATTGGGGTTTATGAGAAGTTTGATAAAGAGTTCAAGGGAGCTCTAAAAAGTTCGCTCCTTTTGTTTAAATCAAGGACTGACAAACTTGAAGAATTTTACTGAAAGATGCTAAAACATTTTGAGACACTGGGAGGAGTGTCTACAGCAGATAGAAATGTAGTGTCATCTACTTCCGTCCTGACTTTCAGAGGGGTGGCTTAGAGCCCCTGGAGTACGAAGGGGCTGGAGATTGCTGGACTACATAGATGTGTGGCCCAGGACAGGTGGCCTCTTCACCTCTGCCTCTGTTCCCGATTCACTGATGTCCTTCCCATGTCCATGTAGGCTGGGTCAGGGGCATGATTGGCTGGCAAATCAGTCATGGAGTTCAGTTGGGTAGTTGGTAGTGTGTCTATGCTGGGTGCAGGTGATGGAGACTCCAGTTAGCTTGTTTTTCAGGAGCAGGGATATAGAGGGCTCCTACTCCTGGTCATTTGAGGCCATCCTTTCAGGAATCTGTGCTTTCATAGGCTGAAGATTTGAAGATTGGAGACTTCTGTGGAGCCCTGCAGAAGTGGAATCTGGAAGTGGGAGCCCATAGGAAGACAGATACTTAGATAGTACTTAGGGAAATAGAGGTACAACTACCAGGACTCTGTTTTTCTGGCAGTCTCTCTCCTTGGGTGTCTGAGTGCCTATGAAAATTTTTAAGGGCTTGCTAGTTTATGTGGACCTGAATAAAGTAGGACCTATAGAGTGAAAATAATGGGATTTTATAATTGCTAATATTTTAATCTTTCTGGGAAAAGTATTCTCAATAAGAACATACACTTTTGTTATTTGATTTTTGTACATGTAGCTTTCATACCTTTCAAATATTGCATGGGATTTCCTGTACCGATTTAGGGCAAAGGAAAGCAATAGGACATTCCTAAGTGGGTTCCATGTTGAGGAATCAAGACTGCCAATTTGAAGTGATGCAGATTAGTCTTTTAACCAGAGATAGATTATGGAAAAGAGACAGTGGATCTTTCTACCTTGTTTTAGGTCATCAGTTTTCTTCCAGTTTAGGTAACAAAATTTATGTCATCCATTAATTGAGTTTTAAGTTCAGCTTCAGGACAGATAATTTGTGAGGGCAAATTATTGTCAGGCTCTGCCAATATATTGACTGTCACTATTTGTTATGAAGCTGAAGGTTAGTTTTCATTGAACATTTTATAGATTTAGACAGGTGGAGGCAGAAATAGGTAACTAAAATCTATTTTTAGAACAGAGGACCTATTTTAATTATATCAAGAATCATAATTTAATATATAGATCACTGACCTTTCCCCAGATTATTCTTTCCTTTTTTGAGGGGGAAGCTGGATATAAACTGGCAGTTAAAAAATTGTAAAGAAATCAACTTGCTCATTTTCATTGTGTATTTTTGCTCCCAAGCATTTTCCATGAACTGTGTGTGGATTCATTGCCTGCATTAGATGACGAAGTCTTGAGTGTTGCTGCTAAGGTAAATTGGTCTCTTGTAAAATTAATTTTCTCACTCTGAATGTAGTTTTGCAGAGTATTTACTTTTCAAACTTAGCAGTGGTTTATCTGTCATTGTTTTATGGTGGTAACGGAAAGTGGGTCAGAGAAAAACATATATATGGCTAGTTGATTGAAAAAATTTGTTTAACTTTGGTAACTAACAAAGATTGATAAGTACCGTGACAGGGTAGGAGCTGAAAAAAAATGAACTGGAAAATAAGTAGTGACAGGAAAATCACATTAGGAAATGCTTTCTCCAATAGAGGAAATATGAAATTTGATTAAGCTTTATTTGGATAAATACTAATACTTTGAGTTTTAAATCCTGTGAGTGTGACTTTCATAATATTTATGCCTGTATAACTCTTCAGTGGATCAAATTATTTGCAGTAATCATGGAATCCTCCTGGTAACTTTTAGTTGCAAAAAGGTTCAGCACATAGCATATAGCTTTTCTTCTTGGAAACTTATTATTTTGGTATCATATAGTTTTTAGGAGAGATTGTTTCTCTACTTATATTATTGGTTCTATAGTGAGACTAAAATAATATTAAAAATTGTAGAAAAATAGCTGAGTGTGGTGGTGTACACCTGTAGTCCCTGCTACTTGGGAGTTTGATGCAGGAAGATTGCTTGAGCCCAGGAGTTTGAGAACAGCCTGGGCAACATAACAAGACTGTATCTGATTTAAAAATATAAATTGTGGAAACATAGAAATTTAAATTTATGTTCTCAAAATTTGTATTGCGAAGGGATTTTTGTGTGTTTTATGAGTTGTCCATGAAGAGTTTATATAAAACACTTCATCTAATTGAATAACATGTATTTTGCTGCAAATAACCAGTTCTAGAAGCAGAGACTCTTAATACCAATATGGTAAGACTTTATCATCATAATTTTGTCATTGTAGTTTATTTAAAATATTTAGTTGGCCAGACGTGGTGGCTCACACCTGTAATCCCAGCACTTTTGGAGGCCGAGGTGGGTAGATCACCTGAGGTCAGGAGTTCAAGATCAGCCTGGCCAACATGGTGAAACCCTGTCTTTAAAAAAAAAAAAAAAAAAAGCACAAAAATTAACCAGGCGTGATGGTGCATGCCTGTAATCCCAGCTGCTCAGGAGGCCACGGTGGGAGAATCGCTTGAACCTGGGAGGCGGAGGTTGCAGTGAGCCAAGATCGCACCATTGCACTCCAGCCTGGGTGACAGAGCAAGACTACATCTTAAAAAATAAAATAACCACTCAAAGTCCTTATATCCTATTCTGAAATTTTGAATGTCAGAAGGTTTTCTATTTAGTTGTTTAAATAATCATTGGAAGCTCCTGCATACTATAGGCTACTGGAGGTCAGTAAACATATTTGTGTGTATCCTGGAGTACCTAGAATATAGTCTTCCATGTAAGAAGCATTTTACTTGTTGTTTTTTGAGATGGGGTTTCACTCTGTCACCCAGGCTGGAGGGCACTGGTGAGATCTTGGCTCACTCCAATCTCCATTTCCTGGGCTCAGGAGATCCTCACACTTCAGCCATCCAAGTAGTTGAAACAGTAGAGCTATGTCACCATAGACCTGTGTCACCATGCTCGGCCGAGTTTTGTAGAGACAGGGTTTTGCCTTGTTGCCCAGGCTGGTCTTTAACTGTTGGGCTCAAGTGTTCTGCCCGCCTCAGCCTCTCAAAGTGCTGGGGTTACAGGCATGAGACATTCAGCCTTAATAGTTGTTTAATCTGAATAAATAGACAAATGAATTTTTATATAATGGAATGTTATAAGTAATATAATATACCTAATGTATCTAACAATTAAATATTGTATTTAAAATATTGCTTACATTTGTATTATTTTTTAATATTTAAGGGAGTATAAGTTTTGATGTGTTATGTTGAGAAATTATGCCATAATTAAAAAGGAAATAAATTAGAAATAGGTCATCAGTAGCAAAGAGGGTTACAATATATTTTCTAGTATCATTGAACTGGAATCTTAACATTGAGATTTTAGATTAACATTTCTTAAGCTTTTTATTAGTCCCAACTCAGGTTCTATTAAATATACCTTTTCAAGCCATACATTACCCTTTATTATTATTATTATATTTTAAGTTCTCGGGTACATGTGCACAACGTGCAGGTTTGTTACATATGTATACATGTGCCATGTTGGTGTGCTGCACCCATTAACTCGTCATTTACATTAGACATATCTCCTAATGCTATCCCTTCCCCCTCCCCCCACCCCACAACAGGCCCTGGTGTGTGATGTTCCCCTTCCTGTGTCTAAGTGTTCTCATTGTTCATTTCCCACCTATGAGTGAGAACACGTGGTGTTTGGTTTTCTGTCCTTGTGACAGTTTGCTCAGAATGATGGTTTCCAGCTTCATCCATGTCCCTACAAAGGACATGAACTCATCCTTTTTTATGGCTGCATAGTATTCCACGATGTATATGTGCCACATTTTCTTAATCCAGTCTATCATTGTTGGACATTTGGGTTGGTTCCAAGTCTTTGCTATTGTGAATAGTGCTGCAATAAACATACGTGTGCATGTGTCTTTATAGCAGCATGATTTATAGTCCTTTGGGTATATACCCAATAATGGGATGACTGGGTCAAATGGCATTTCTAGTTCTAGATCCTTGAGGAATCACCACACTGTCTTCCACAATGGTTGAACTAGTTTACAGTCCTACCAACAGTGTAAAAGTGTTCCTATTTCTCCACATCCTCTCCAGCACCTGTTGTTTCCTGACTTTTTAATGATCGCCATTCTAACTGGTGTGAGATGGTATCTCATTGTGGTT
The DNA here is from genome assembly GCF_000001405.40 of Homo sapiens. NCBI lineage: Eukaryota > Metazoa > Chordata > Mammalia > Primates > Hominidae > Homo > Homo sapiens. Next base: position 157,632 of record NT_187594.1, on the reverse strand, counting down.
TTGATTTGCATTTCTCTGATGGCCAGTGATGATGAGCATTTTTTCATGTGTCTGCCATACATTACTCTAGAATTCTGGTGACCAATTCTTTTTCTGGGTGGAACGTTGATGGAAAGTTCCAGTTTTCTCTCTCTGTTATAATAATGTTCTTTCAGGTAGTGGTAGATGACCATATTTAGCTAATTGAATGTCTTATAGTAATAAACTCTATCACAGAAGTACTTACAAAAAACTAATTGTAGCATAAATATTAATTAGTATTATCAGGGATATGAAAGACCAAAAGGCTCTGTTATAGATCTATTTCCCCATGTACTTTATTGTACTTCATGTTGTTTCTTTTCTTTCTTGGCTTAAGCTCATATTTCATTGACCAATTAGGCTTCTTTTTTGTTTGTATCTCTCTTCATTCTTACATTTTAAATTGATATTTTTGGGGAGTCAGGGTCTTGCTCTGTTGCCCAGGCTGCAGTGTAGTGGCATGATCTTGGCACCCTACAGTCTCCACCTCTCAGGCTCAAGTGATCCTCCCACATCAGCTTCCCAAGCAGCTGGGACTACAGGCACACACCATCATGCCTGACTCCTTTTGGTATTTTTTGTGTAGAGATGTGTTCTCATTATGTTGCCCAGGCAGGTCTCAAACTCCTGAACTCAAGCAATCCACCCACCTTGGCCTTGCAAAGGGCTGAGATTACAGGTGTGAGCCACCATGCCTGGGCAACATTGAGACTGATTTAAAGAAATTGATTAGGGCTGGGTGTGGTGGTGCACACTGCTTATCTCAACACTTTGGGAGGCAGAAGTCGAAGATTTACTCGAGCCTAGGAGTTTGAGACCAGCCTGGGCAGTATAATGAGGCCTTATTTCTACAAAGATAACAATAGAAACATTAGCATGGCATGATGGTATGCACCTGTAGTTCCAGCTATTCAGGAAGTTGAGGTGGGAAGATTGCTTGAGGTCAGGAGTTTGAGACCACAGTGAGCCATAATCAGGCCCCTGCATTCTAGCCCTTGGTTGACAGAGTGAGACCCAGTTTCATAAAAAGAGATTGATAAGAAGCTCTTGATGCAACTCATAATTTTAAAATGGAAACTAATTCTTGATATTACCTTAGCAGTGTGTCCCCGAGAAAGTGTCAGAGCCTTTATGTGGACCTTCCCATGGAAAAGGAAAACAGAATAGTCAATGGAAAAGGAGAAGGTGAGAACTGTATTTTATTTAAAAAGTCATTTGTTGGAGGCTGGGTGCAGTGGCTCACACCTGTAATCCCAGCACTTTGGGAGGCCGAGGTGGGCGGATCACAAGGTCAGGAGATCGGGATAATCCTGGCTAACATGGTGAAACCCCATCTCTACTAAAAATACAAAAAATTAGCCAGGTGTGGTGGCGGGCCCCTGTAGTCCCAGCTACTTGGGAGGCTGAGGCAGGAGGATGGTGTGAACCTGGGAGGCGGAGCTTGCAGTAAACGGAGATCACTCCACTGCACTCCAGCCTGGATGTCAGAGTGAGACTCTGTCTCAAAAAAAAAAAAAAAAAGTCATTTGATGGAATGTTTCTTTGAAAATATGAGCACTAATAGAGTCTAATAGCTAAAGAAAATGTCCTATTAACTGTATAATAAGTAAAGGAGAAGTGAAATGGTGATAAGTTGTGTCTCTAACCAAGGGTCAGCAGTTGATTCTATTGGGAGTACCACTAAAGGAGCTGAGTTGTGGGTTCCATTTTAAGATACTCTAAGACCTGAGGCAAGTCAGGAGAGAGGGAAGAGGAAATGAATAAAAGAGAAAGAAAGATGAGGAGGGCAGAGTATACATGGAATAAATAAAAACACATATGCGGATGTATGTAATAGAGGGTAGTAAAGTCTAATTGATCTGTAGAAGAAGGAAGAACAGGGTGTTAGGAATAGGAAGGAAGATAAAGTGAGCTTCCCGTACCAACATATGTCAGAGAATTAGAGTAACATTTTCCTACTCTTGCTGTCATCCTCACTACTGGGGAGGCATTAAGGATTGAGGTATTTTACCACACAGACCTGTGTTTTATCTACCATAGATGAACATCACCATAAATGGTCAGCCATGTATGGCTATAATTTGGTTTTAAAGAAAATGTTGTAACCTCATAGGATAGTATCATATAGGCCAAATTAACATAATTGAAAATAATAGTGTTGGGTGATGTATGGAGAAGAAATTAATTAGAGAAGGTATTACCTGATTAAAAGTTCATTAGAAACATTATGGCTTATAATGTAGTATTAAATTCAGAGACATAATAGGGAAGAAATTGAGTCTAGGCCAAAAAGGGCAATTAGGGTAAACTAATATGGAAGCACATAAAGTGTAAAACAGGGCATTCAGATAGTCATGAATTAGTTGAGGAACTTCTGGAAACTGCACATTCTGATTTAGCAGGTATAGGAGTCTGCATTTCTCATGAGTACTCAGGTGATGTTGTTGCTGGTCCTTGGACACAGCTCTGAATAGCAAGGGAATAGCCTTCCTTTAGAGAAATCTGGAAAAAGAACCACTGGAGAGCAATTTGAATAATAGCAGAATCCAGGGAAAGCATTAATTTCCTTTTATTTCTGAGCACGATTCTAGCCACAGGGGAAGGAAAATGAGATGAAAAAAGAGAGATTACAGGTGTATACTACTGCTGAATACAGATGAAAAAAGTGGTCACAATTATCCATAAAAAGCAGTTAGGAAGGGAAGCATCAGGATGACAGATCTAAAAATCACTTTTTCAAAGGAAGAGGGATTGTGAAAGGACACAGAGGGAGGAAAGAAAGACATTTGCTGGGGTCTTGGGAGTTAAAGCCAAGTAAACTTGAGACAACTCACTTCCAGTTGCTTCAGCATATGCCCAGTCTCACAAAAGAGGTTATTGCTGTGGAGAGTACTGGAGGCAGGAGGGAGTGCTAGAATTGGGGTAAACCACAGCAGCTCATTTCACTTCATAATTGTCAGGCCTCAGAGAGAGAAGTTTCATTGACATGAGTGAATAAGATGTGATTAAGTTGCATATAGATGCTTTGGCTAATTTTTTTTGAGACAGCCAGTTCTTTGATATGATAGCTGCTTTATAAAAGTCCTTTACAGTGTAAGATGATATACCAAACTTAGTTAATTTTAGAAGCAATTGTATTATAAAATTCATTCTGTGAATACCAAAATACTCATTTTCAATAAGTACTGCACTGATTTTGAAATATAAATGTGTATTCGTATCCAGCAAGTCTGTGGTAATTCAGTGTTTTCTTTTTTGATAAATATTTTGATATTGGAAGCTTATTCGACATGGTTTATTTGATGTGTTTTATGGACCACCTCGCACAAGTGGATCAAGGAGCTCTAACTCAAGGCCAAATGAGGGGATAGGAGAAATGTAGGTGCTGCAGTAGCCCATGTGATCATGGGAAAAATGAGTATTTTGATTAGCTGTTATTTCATAAGTGTGCGTCCTAGCTGATCAATGTAGAACACTTTCTTTGATGAGAGGTGAATCACACATTCACCTGAACTGTCATCCCAACTGTGTATTTCCTCAGCGACAGGACAAGGGGAATTTATCTGTGGTGTGCTGGCAGCAATGCCTCTGATGTGTTGAGTTAAAATACTCTGTACATTCACCATCAGCTTTGACATCGATTCCCTCAGGTTTGATTTGCTCCTCTGTTTAGTGGTCCCTTTTCTCCTCATCAGCCCACGTGTTCACAGTGATATCCATGCTTTTCTATTTTAGGTATAGACATTTGAAACATAATCTCACTACTGAAATGTAAGCTGTGCATTTTAGGAATCCTGTATTCCTATTTTCCTCATTAGGTTTCTGTCATGTTGCTGTCCTAGGCAATGAAAAGAAGAAGCCAAGAAGAACCCTCAAAACCTTAAGTAATTATTTTCATAGCCAGGCATGAGAATTCAGCTCGATAGTAACACTGCATGAATGGTTGGCCCTGTCATACTTACATATAATTGATGACATATCCCTTTTGCTTTGTAGGGCCTCCTGCAAAACATCCTTCCTTGAAGGTAATTAATTATGTATATTTTTTGAATCACTAACTCCACATTGTATAAAATATATATGATTTATGAATCATTTTCTTTTAAAACCCATTCAGCCTAGCACTGAAATGGAAGATCCTGCTGTGAAAGGAGCAGTACAAAGAAAGAATGTACAGACATTGAGAGCAGGTACATATTCAATACAAATGGAATGCCGGAAATAAGTACATTCAATGATTGGAAGTACTCACATTATTCTTACCCCTAATTCTGTTTGTTCAAAACTGAATGGAAGGCATTGACGTAAATGTTATTGTTGGTATCCATATTTGAATAACAATAAATTTAGAAGCATAAAAAAGATTTTAAAAATGTAAGCTTTAACTCAGATGTTTCTCTTTTAATGTTTTGAATAGCATGAAGTTTTCAGTATAAAATTTTTATACTTGTCAGGGATTAAAAGCACTGAATTTTGAGACTCTAAGATATTTCCATTGATTTATGTGCTAGTTGGCGCTCTGATCTTTACGTAGAGGAAAGCTTTTCTTATTAACGTGTCAGTTTCTGTTTTAACTTTAGAGGCTTGCTGCTAGTGTTATTACACTGATGATCTGAAGCCAATCAGATGTTCTAGTGAGCAAGACTGTGTGTGGATGTGGATGTATAGGTGTGTGTATGTGTGTGTTTGTGGCATCTTTGACTACTAAAAATGAGGAAAGTAATTATTCATTTATAACTGGTAGACACAGTCTTTTAAAACGGTGATTTTGAGCCTTTTTGGTGTTAAGGTTTTTAAAACGTGATTGCATAGCGGCTACCAACATCATAAGTTGGTTGTTTTTCATTTCAATGCCCTTTTGAAATCTTTAACTATATTGTGATGCTCAGAAATAATATGCAGAATTTTTTATTTGTGTCCCAAAATGGTATGTGAGTGGTTATACACTTTACATACCTTTCTGCCACTTTCTTTGGTGTATTTTGTATTATGTTTTCCAGATGTATCCACATTGATATGATTATCTCTGGTTTAATTCATTTTATACTTTTCATTGTATTCCCTTATACCACTTTACCACATTTAGTTAGACTCTCCTGTTGCTGATAAATGAAGAAAGAAAGAAAAATAAAAATAATGTCAGATTAAGAGGGCTTTTCTTTAGTCAGTTTGTATAAATTAATATTTACTACATGAGAGTTTAAAGTTGAAAAGTTCAGAATACAAGCATGCACCACCATATTTTATAAATGTCCTTAGAACTGTGACTCATGAGCCTTTAGCCTATGAAGTTAGGACAATTCATTTCTCTGAAGAAGTTTGCTGTGCTATTCTCAGAAAAGAAAACTGAAAATAGCAAATGATATTGTCTTATTTGACCTCTTGGACATCCTTGAATGAAACTGAAACTCCAGGGATACTCGGATCAAAATTCAGAACTAATGTTTTGAACAATATAGTTTGTGAATGTCCAGTGATCATGAGCCCTTGATGGGGAAATGACCTTTCAAGTTTCACTTTTGCATTTTTTGCTCTTTTCCTTGACTTGTCTTAAAAGCTTAAATTCAACCGTTTTATTTTTACAGAAACCAGGAATATAACTTTTAAAATATATGTCTGTCCTGTCTCACGGTGGTGTGTACTCTTCAGATCTTTTGTGAACATAGACTTATATGGGAACAATTATGTTTTTTGTTTGTTCGTTTGTGTTTTTGAGACAGAGTCTTGCTCTGTCACCAAGGCTGGAGTGCAGTGGCTCAGTCTTGGCTCATTACCACCTCTGCCTCTCAGGTTCAAGCAATTCTCCTGCCTCAGCCCCTTGAATAGCCGATACTACTTGCACGTGCTACCATACCCTGCTAATTTTTCTATTTTTAGTAGAGATGGGGTTTCACCATGTTGGCCAGGCTGCTCTCAAACTCCTGACCTCAGGTGATCTGCCCACCTCGGCTTGCCAATGTGCTGGGATTACAGGCGGGAGCCACTGTGCCAGCTACAAATAAGATTTTTAAGGCTATTATATTTTATACAATTCTTTGGTTTATGTGAATTCTGAAGGCTTTCATGCATTGAGGGAAGATTATATCAGTTTAATGAAAGCAGTTTTTAATTTAATGTATATTCATTAAAATTTTTTTTGAAGTTTTTGTCTCTAGTACATAGAAATACACAATAATGTCATGGGTATTTGACCTTTATGTGTTTATGCACAAACTTAGTTATTCAAATATTTTCTTATCCCTAAAGAATCTTAATTACTAATAAACAAATTTCTCATTGAAAACAACATATATAATAGAGATCGTTGAGTGATTGAAAGTAAATTGTAGTAAATAACAGAAGCTTAGAACAAGTTAAGTAAACTTGTCTGAGTTAATAGCAATTACAGGACTTTTAAAATATGTTAGACCATGAGGGAGTGGTGTGTTTGTGGGGTAGAAGACAACATGGTACTGCTTCAGTGAAGAAAGAACTTTTACAACTTATTACAATTTGTATTACTATTTACATTCTAATAAATAAAAACTTTATTTTCAGATATTTTAGATTATGTTTCTACTAGTTGAACCATCAATAGTAAGACTTTTCAAAGATTTGGGAAGTTGTGAGTTGACGATAAATATCTGTATCGCCATCCGTGATCAAAAATCAGACAGCAACTACAGACTTTGGACACGCGAACTTCATAGTTAAAGAAAGGATTAATTTTGGAGCTGTGTTTCTATCAGGGAATTATACTCTTCATTGCCTGCATGAATCGCAGTTATTAGAGTAGAAAGAGAGCAAAGAAGGGAAAGAAGCATAGAAAATTTTATTCTAGATTACCTCGGTTGGCTTCATGCTACCATAGTTCTGACTTTTAAAAAGTCATTTTGTGATCAAAGGTACTTTGTGTTTACTCCCCTTATGCAGGCTACAACCAAACAGAATGGTTCTTAGCAAGGCATTTGTATTCTTCCCTTAAGGAAAGCAACATATAAATAAAGAGAATGAGGAGAAAGAGTGATTTCATTGAGGTTGTTATTTAACATAAATTTGAGTGTGGGTACCATGATTATATTTAGAATTTTGGGACTGGATGGGAAAACCAGCTAGACATCTACAGATTCCCTACTCAAACACAATGTGCCTTTGTTTTATTTTTATATCTCTAATTTTGCAATTATTCAGTACAACTGTATGCAGTGTCACTAAAAATACCTTCCCAAACCAAATATTAAATAATGCCTATGGCTTTCTGTTTTATAGTGTTGATTTTCCCAATATTAATGGGAACCATTGAGCATTTGCCTTGTGGTGTCTCCTCAGCTGTATTCACACATTCCATCACCTTGTCTTAATGGATAATCATACACTAGGAGTACGGTTTTCAGAAGAGCTGTGTCATTTAAAGATAACACAGGAGCATCAAATTTAATTCTGCTAGAACACCTGGTCTACTGATTAACTGCAGCTAATGTGGGGTCTACTTCACATACAAGTTAAATTCAGTGCCCTTAATCAGTCATATGATCAGGTCAACAGTAATAAATTATGCAATATTTTCCCCCACCCCTATAGTTTTAATTTCTTTTTCCCCTTATGTCTAGAATTAACATTTTGTTTTATAAAACATGATGATAATCTTCTAGAGTAGTGATGACAAGCTATAAATCCAAAGTTTGTTACTTATGCAGATGACTTGTTTGCTTCTATTTTCTCATGAGCTTGGTAGATCCAGGAAACAGAACTTTTAAAACAAAATCCCCATATGTGGCTGGGCGCGGTGGCTCGTGCCTGTAATCCCAGCACTTTGGGAGGCTGAGGCGGGTGGATAACCTGAGATTGGGAGTTTGAGACCAGCCTGACCAACATGGAAAAACACATCTCTACTAAAAACACAAAATTAGCTGTTCATGGTGGCAAATACCTGTAATTCCAGCTACTTGGGAGGCTGAGGCAAGGAGAATCGCTTGAACCTGGGAAGCAAAGGTTGTGGTGAGCTGAGATCATACCACTGTACTTCAGCCTGGGCAGGAAGAGTGAAACTCCATCTCAAAAAACAACAACAATGACAACAACAACAACCAACACAAAACCCAAATGCATTTCCTTGGCACAGTAAAACTGAAACAGAAAAAGTGTAAAGTAAATACAAGTAACTGAAACAGTTTATGTATATTATCTTACTTCTCATTTGATAAAATTTGTAAAGTAATGAGCAGAGGGTATTTCTCCAGGGACCTGGATATATACATTTATTCATTCAATAAAAATTCATTCTTATAATGGCCACTGATACTTGTATCCTAATCATTTCTGAAAACATCTCCTCAGGCCTGCATCATCTTTGCAACATTGCCATATTTTATCTTTGTTCATTTATTTATATGCCTCAGAATTTTATGCTCCTCACAGTATTTAGAGTTAATTATCTCTAATGTAAATAGATCCATGAACCACTCCTGAATACCTAATGTCCAAGCATCTTAAAGCTTTATATAAGGATTTCAGAAACTGACTTCTGGGTTGGGCACGGTGGCTCATGTCTGTGATCCCAGCACTTTGGGAGGCTGAGGCAGGTGGATCATTTGAGGTCAGGAGTTCAAGACCAGCCTGGCCAACAAGGTGAAACCCCATCTCTAATAAAACACAAAAAATAGCAGGTGGTGGTGGCATGCACCTGTAATCTCAGCTACTCCGGAGGCTGAGGCAGAAGAATTACTTGAACCCAGGAGACCGGGTTGCAGTGAGCCAAGATCATGCTACTGTGCTCCAGTCTGGGAGACAGAGTAAGACCTTGTCCCAAAAAAAGAAAAGAAAAGGAAACTGATTTCTGCCCAAATCTCTATCCGTAGCCCTTTCCCCATCTGCCTTTTTCTCTGGAATTACTCAGCTGCTGGTAATGGCCCCCTCACCATTCCTCTTTTGCAGAGAAATACATACTCTCTTGGAGGCTTCTCTCCCTCTCTTGTTGCTGCCTGGCATGTGCTAACCCTTTCCTGCCCTCTGCCTCACTTAATCTGGCGAACCTCACTCTCTAATTCTCAGCTCATGCATGATCTTTAGGAAAGCCATCCCTGACAGCTTTTATGTTCCTTCCTTATACCCCAGTGCCTAACACTTAGCAGGAACTCAATAAGTAATTATTTAGCAAAATTAAGACTGTTTATACAAAGATGATTCAAAAGATTGTCCTCTACAGTCTAGCAGCAAAGGGGATTGACATGTAAAGACATGATGTGCAGTTCAGGTGGTAAAGTGACACTAGAAAAATTGACAAAGTACTAAGGGACCGCAATGAAACAGACACCTGTGTGTGTGGAGAAAGATAGCTAGAATCAAGGAAGACTTCACACAGCATTCTGAGCCTTTTTTTTTCTCTTTTTCTGTTGTTGGAGACAAGTTCTTACTCTATCACCCAGGGTGGAGTGCAATGGCGTGATTGAAACTCACTGCAACCTCAAACTCCTGGGCTCGAGGGATCTTCTCACCTGAACTTCTTGAGTGGCTGGGACTACAGGCACATATCACCATACCTGCCTAATTTTTTGTAGAGTCAAGGTTATCTATGGTTTCCAGGCTGGTCTTACAGTCTTGGCCTCGAGTAATTCTCCTATTTTGGCCTTCCAAAGTGCTGGGATTACAGATGTGAGCTATTATGTCCAGCCTACTTTCTGAGTCTTAAAAGATGAAAATAAATTTTTCAGAATAGCAGGGGGAAAACATTTGCGATGTAAAAAATGGTGTGCACACTAATTAAGATATAAACAATAATTTTGCAAATTAGTAACTGCCAACTCAATTAGTGTCTTGTTAAAAAGATACTGTTATGTACATTGTATATTTTGACTGTATTTCAAAATTTTGTTTTGTTTCCAACAGTTTTGTTGATTTATGTTGGGTGGAACAATTTGTGAGTGACCCTGAGATTTTGTATGGCTTGAACCTGGTGATATCTAGTGTCTCCCCAAATGGTTTGTTGAAGTTTTGGATAATTAGAAGTATTTCTTAAAGAAGTAAATATTTCAGTAAACATTAAGCTTCATTTAAACCCTCAAAATATAAAATACGAAGAAATGTTATTTTCTATTTATTTTTATAAAGATTATAGTCTTTATCTAACTGTTCTTAGTTCATTTGAACTAAACCAATGAATTTGTCAACAGAACAAGCCTTACCAGTGGCTTCAGAGGAAGAGCAACAAAGACGTGAAAGAAGTGAAAAGAAGCAACCACAGGTATATGAAAATTTAAGTTTCTTGTTTAATATTAGGTTTTTTTTTGCTTTAGTAACAAAGCATAGTCCAAATGACATGACCTTTTAGACTATACCTTTAGAATCCAATAGATCATAATTTTATATTTAATTTTTAAAACATTTTAACCAGTTATGAAACTTAAGATATTCTTACTATCTCTAGTAACTTATTCATTATTCTAGTAATTCTTACTATCTCTAGTAACTCATAGCTGTCTTTACCCTTGGAATTGAGGCAAGAATTTTTCACAATTATCTTGCTCTTTTATTTGTATAACCTTACTCATAATACAGAAGGTAACATGAAATATTGGGTCATATTACTAAGGAATAGAAATTATGAACAATTTAATAACGATGGCCGCTGAGTTAAACTAGTGTTAAAAGAGTCATCATTGCCAATGGTTCAAATGTTGCAGTTTTATATTGCTGGTCATCAGTGCCGAGGTTAAAGATTTATTCTGTTTTGTGGTCACCAGTTGACTTCTGTGTCTGTGTTCAGGGAGTGAATGGGGTCATAAAAACCAACCCAGTTGCCTTTTAAGAGAATCCTACCTTGCAGAATGGGACCTTTGGTATCAGGGTACAAACAATAACTTTATTTCAACATAAATACATAGTAAATATTACTAAAATTAAAAAAATCCAAACACTATCACTACTGGAACTTAAAATATATTAGAAGTGGATATCATAGTATATCATTTGAATTAGAATTTAAAATTTTGCTTCTCTTTCTTATTGGTGTTCAGTTTGGCTCTTAATAATTTAGTGTTTGCCTAGTCTCTAGTTAATCTTCAGAAATATACATGCACTGTAGGGGCTCACTCTTTCTGGTATGCTGAGGTAAAGTCTTTGTAAGAGAGGAAGCTTTTATAATACTACCTATCATCTTTGAATTCATTTCTGGTAGACTTTACACATAATGCATTAAGTTTAGTCCAAACAAACACTGAGAGTTCAGCTTGCCGGTTTATGTTTCTGTCCTATGTTAAGCCAAGGCAAATTATTTTTCACTTTTTAGTTACAATCCCATAATTGAAGAGTGGCAACACGCAGATTAAGTTTCACAGTTAAATTTTAATTATTTTCTAATATTTGTTTATACTTGATTAAAGCTAATTTTAGAACATGCACTCTGACAGAAAAGACATCTGAGAAACAAAACAAGCAAATTTGTTTTCCATTTTGCACCTGCCAAAAAAAAAAAAAAAAAAAAAAAGCCTCAAGAACCAGAACTGGGTAAGAATTGTGATAAAGGGAATCTATCTGTATATTCACGACTTTCTTTAAAATTCATTACAAACAAGTTCAAGCTGAATATTGGTAAAGGTTTTGGAAACTCCAAAATTACTGCTTGCCCTGAGGAAGAGCTTCTACATAGTAACTCTAAAGAGGGATGAACGAAAAAGGAGTGCCCTCTGATCTGATGAATCAGGTCCCTGATTGTGAGGAGAAAAATGCATCTGGAGGGTCTAACTCTGTGGCATTCCAAGCAGCACCTGAATAGAGGAATCCCATGTCAAATGTCTTTTTATTCCATTCACACTCCAGGTCCCTGAAATACACTTACCAGTCATCTTCTAAGCTTCATTTAAATGAAAATAAATCAGACTATGAAAATGATAACAAACCAGACACATAGCTTGTTTCTAACACAGATGATGAAAATTTTTGTAATGATACAGAAACTGAAACATTAAGGAACCCAGTAATTATGATTGAAATGAAAGATGATTAAGAGTTTCACATGCAAATGGCAAAAAATACAAACCCAAATACCACTAATTGGAAATTAGACATTAGGCATTGGCCTCAGTCTAGAGATCCAGAAAGTCTTTTTGATTTGTGGTTTACCCACCCCAAAGAAATGAAGCATATGATTCAGATAGAAAGCCACAGTATTTCTGCTGCTACAGATACTTATAAAAACAGAAAACCAATACAGTGCTTACTCCAGAAGCCACTATATGACAATCCCAGTGCTAATAACTACAAAAGCATGAATCTTGAATTATAAAGTGTGGGTTTATTCTTTGCCACATAGTGAGAGAACATCAAAAATATAGCTAGAAGACACAGCAAGATATTCCAAGGTCACCAACATGGCACATGTATACATATGTAACAAACCTGCACGTTGTGCACATGTACCAGAACTTAAAAGTATAATAAATAGTAAAAAAGAATGAGGTAGCATGTTACAAGTAGAGTTCCTGGCTTTGGAAAAAGAGAAAGTCCAACTTCAAAAAGACAGAGGTTCACTTGCTGCTGCTTTTTTCTCTTTGTCAATTATTTGATTTAGTCAGATTTTCTATTCAAGAAAATCTCATGTGTACAGTTACAGTGGGGTTATCTAAATGTGTAATTGTGTGTCAAAGTAGATTAGTTTTGCTATCTAAATAATGGTTCTGGAGAATGTTCTCATAATGTTTGTTCATTAATCAACCTAAGTCTTCCTATCAGTCTTCCAAGTGGCGTATGAGCTGGGAAACTAATTCAGCCATATACCATGTGACCTTTATGAACCAGATCAACATAAAGAAATTGCTAAAGAAATAAGCTCTAGATTCTAGATTCTTTTTTCTGTATTCATTTAGAGATGAATTACATTTATTTAATGATAGAATGGTAATACAATGGGAGGGAAGCAATGACTGAGATGAGCCACAAAAACACGTCTAGCCTTGAGAGTTGCAACGAATATTCCCAGCCAAATGAGTCTGTTTAATATGTTTTCATGCATGCAAGTTTATCTGCTTAGCTCAAACTGCTTGAACTTATAGTCCCATCATGGTTATTTCCAATATTTTGAAAACAAATATATACTTCCACATATTTTTAAAAATCACCACTCTCCAATATTTCTGTTGAATCAGACCTTACATTATGTTGTTTAATAAAGTATGGTAAGTTTTGGCATGTATGATTTTTATCATGTAAGAAGCATAATTTCTTAGTCAAAAATTTAGCCTTTGACTCTTTAGTAGAAAGCTGAGTTCTGTACATTGTGTTCTAAAGATAGACAAAAATCTAGAGATTTTCTTCTTTCAAAGTAAAAGCAGATGAGGCCTTTTTCCACCCTCTGAGGCATTAAATTGCTTTGCTCAAGTTAGACTTTTAATATATTTAATTTGATAAATTTATCTGGTAATATATGTAATTCAGCAATATGGAATTGTATCATGTTATATGGTGCCATGAAATGCTAGGGAATGCCACCTCAAGAGCTCTGGATGAAACATTTAATATGTCTTGGTTGGTTTGACTCCCATTATCAGTAGATAATGGGGCTAAAGTAGGTAACTGTATCCTATGTTTTCCACCTATAAACTTTTGTGGTAATAGAATGTGAAATCTGGGAAGCATGTCGTTTTCCAGAATTCTGCACTAGAAACTCAGCAGTTTCACTCTGCTTCTTGTGTTGTGGCAAACTTTGGTTCCCATAGTTCAGGGAGCACCTTTACTTTTTTGATATCCCAGGATTCAAAAAAAAAAAAAAAAAAGAGAGATAAAAGGCACTGGGGAAAAGAATAGCTTAGTGCAGAAAAGGGAAATCTTCTTTACTGTTCCTGAAGCCCTACAAAGTCACATCCTCTAAATCTGGCTATTTCATGTAAAATCCAGGTGGTAAAGACAGAAGACATATGTTATGCCTGTGTCTTTTTATTTCTCTGTTTCTGCCAGTCAGATAGCATAAACATTTATGTCAGATAGCAAAGAGTGGATGGGAATAAAAGCACAAAATGGAGAAGAGGACTTTTTAAAATTTTGGAAAATTCTTCCATTCACTCAAACAGAAATGAGCAGACTTGACAAAAATTTCATTGATAAAATGGTGAGTACCTTATAATTATAATAATTATGTATAATGATAAAATTAAAGTAAGCACAAAATACCTTTATCATTAAAATGGTGATAGTTAACCTGAATCAAGTGAAAAAATCAGGGAAAAAGTTCTTTTTATGAATAAAATAATAATTATTATTCATATTACTTTTATTAAAGGTCAAAGAAGGAAATAATACATACAAAAGTGAAAAAATACAACTATCAGAAAATATATGTCATAGTACATCTTCTGCTGCTGCTGACAGATTAACCCAACAAAGAAAGATTAGGAAAACAGCCTCAGCAATTTCCCAAGAAACTGAAGGAAGAGCATGATAGGTAAGTAAGCCTATTGCAGTGTGTTTGTTTTGTTTTGTTTTGTTTGGGTTTTTTTTTTTTTTTGAGATGGAGTTTCTCTCTTGTTGCCCAAGCTGGAGTGCAATGGTGTGTTCTTCCCTCACTGCAACCTCTGCCTACTGGGTTCAAGTGATTCTCCTGACTCAGCCTCCCTAGTAGCTGAGATTACAGGGATGTGCCACCATGCCCGGCTAATTTTTTGTATTTTTAGTAGAAATGAGGTTTCACCATGTTAACCAGGCTGGTCTGGAACTCCTGACCTCAGGTGTTCTGCCCATCTCAGCCTCCCAAAGTGCTGGGTTTACAGGAGTGAGCCACTGTGCCTGGCCACCTATAGCAGTATTTCACAGGAGATAATTGTCATTGTGCTATAAACTAATTCAAAATTGGACTAATATTCCTTATGATTAACAAGTTTTATATTTTTACCAGGGATATTTAGCCCTGTCTGGTAATCAGAAAAATGTAAATTAACATAAAATAAGATATATTTTGTAAAGTCATGCTGATATTTAAAAAGTAATTACTCATGTTGGCAAATGTGAGGAAAAAGGCATTCTCATACACTGTTGGTATATGAAATTGGTAAATTATTTGTGAAGGGTAACTTAGTGCTGTGTATCAAAATTTCAAATAACCTGACATCCCTTTAACTCAACAACTCCACTTCTGGGACTAGATTTCCCAGGAAAACATAACTTGTGTAAACATACACAAACTTATTAAGGGCATTAATTATATATTACACATAATGAACAATAGGCTAATTAATATATAAAATATATGTAATAAGAAGGTGAATTGAAAGTATTAAGAAAGAATTATAAAAAGTGTGAGGTAACAGATGTTAGACTCTTTAGCCTAGTTTTGGATGACAGTCATTTGCAGATATAGTTTTTGTGAGAGACATCTTACTCTGTAAATCATTTGGAGAGACACCCGCAATATTTCGTAAAGATGAAAATTTATTTCTAGTGAACTTATACACTTGTCAGTAAATAGTAACTTTAAAATTTTAGTTGATTGTAAATGACCTTTTCTAATTAGGGAGTAATTATGACTGTGTGATTTGAAAAGGTAATTTTGAACTTGTAACTTTACTGAATTATCTCCAGTATCCTTTTTTATAATATATACTAGAGTCACTAGTAATAAAACCTTTAGCAGAATATTCTTTCCTTACTACTTCTCAAGTATATGCATTCTTTTGAAGATGTTGAAGTGAGAATTTAAATATCTGAGAACTGCAAAGGAAAAATAATCCAGAACATAGAAATTTTATTAGGATAATAAACAACATCTGCAGAGGTAGATAACAGGATGAACTCTTTATTTTTTAACAAAATGAATTTCAAGATAAATGTCTTTATCTGCAGATGCACCTTACAACAAGAAAATGAAGAAAAAACAAATGTTAATATGCTGTACAAAAAAAATAGAGAAGAATTAGAAAGGAAAGAGAAACAATATAACAAAGAAGTTGAAGCAAAACAACTTGAACCAACTGTTCAATCACTAGAGATGAAACCGAAGACTGCAAGAAATACTCCAAATCAGGTAAATCAATCTTTGGTAAAAATTCTATATTTTAAACTTTATTTTATCAGTGTTACTTACAATATCCACTTGATTTAATATATATTATTTAGGTAAAAAACAAACCAGAAATGTTATCTCATTTTTAAAAATGAGTGATGACACTTACAGGTACAATTATTAATATATATTATAAATCTTGGCATCCACATAGGATATTATTTTATTACAAAGAGCTTTTGAAAACAATAATATGCCATAATATATACTTAGTGATAACTTATTGATAAAGATTTTGTTCCCAGTAAAATTGTTCTTGTACTTTCCCCTATTTCATATTGATTACTGTACCTAATATTATAAAGAAGAAACAGAAATTATTGCAATCACAAATAATCTCATGATATTCTTAGAAGAGGTCTATAAATTTTATCTTATTTACCACTGGTGTTTTGAAATAAAAGTTTTCTTTCGTATGGATATATTTACACCACAGAAGTAACTGTGATCTGTTGGAGAACTAGAAGTAGAGTCAGAAGTCCTGGGGAAAATCCTGTAGCTTGCTTATATTTTTAACCTTTCTTTCTCAAAATTATGGTAACTAGATGAGTTCATCAATGAATGTATATAGGAGTGACTAGTATAATGTGTAGATTTATGTTAGTAAATGTAATTCTTATAACTGACTATAAAAGTGTTAAAAGAGTCAAATTGGAATAGAATGTTATCAGTGAAACAGAACTGTAATAACTCTGGGAAATTTCATCTGTCCAAATACGTGTGAACTAAGGTTCTTACTATAGGGTGGTGTATAGGTTAGATATCAAAGTGTAAATGCAATTTTTTGACATATTTTAATTTAGTCAAATTTGTTAATGCTTTAATTTATACTTTTGAGTTTGTTGTAATTCAGGGAAAGGCTTTTCCAATTCTGAAATTCTTAAAAATTCTCTGGTGTGCATGTGTGTGTGTGTGTTTACTTTTATAAATTCATTGACTTTAAATAAATTTCTGAACTTTTTGGAATTTATGCTCTATAAGGTTCAAAATTTTGCTTCAACTTTTTCTCCAGTTGGATATCCACTTACAGTAACCTTTTTAGTGCATGGATGTGCAGGTTATTCTTTAACTTCAGAGGTAATCATGATATGTTATTTTATTGAGTACTAGCTAAAACTTTCTGTTGTTTTATTTAGGATTTTCATAATCATGAAGAAATGAAAGATCTGATGGATGAAAATTGCATTTTGAAGACAGATATTGCTATACTCAGACAGGAAATATGCATAATGAAAAATGACAACCTGGAAAAAGAAAATAAATATCTTAAGGACATTAAAATTGCTAAAGAAACAAATGCTGCCCTTGAAAAGTGTATAAAACTCAATGAGGAAATGATAACAAAAACAGCATTCCGGTATCAACAAGAGCTTAATGATCTCAAAGCTGAGAATACAAGGCTCAATTCTGAACTGTTGAAGGAAAAAGAAAGCAAGAAAAAACTGGAAGCTGAAATTGAATCTTATCAGTCTAGACTGGCTGCTGCTATAAGTAAACACAGTGAAAATGTGAAAACAGAAAGAAACCTGAAACTTGCTTTAGAGAGAACACAAGATGTTTCTGAACAAGTAAAAATGAGTTCTGATATTTCCGAAGTAGAAGATAAGAATTAGTTTCTTACTGAACAACTTTCTAAAATGCAAATTAAATTCAATACCTTAAAAGATAAGTTCCGGCCGCCGCCGCCACTGCAGCCTGCTGGGCTGGAGGAAGCAGAGCTGGTGCTGTCCCGGCTCTCTTGCGGGGAAGCAACTGAGGGGGCGCCTTGGGGTGGGTGCTCCTGGTGAGAGGAGTCCACTCCATGCATGTGGGCGGAGGCCATCCCCCGAGAGCCGCCGACATGAAGAAAGACGTGCGGATCCTGCTGGTAGGAGAACCTAGAGTTGGGAAGACGTCACTGATTATGTCTGGTCAGTGAAGAATTTCCAGAAGAGGTTCCTCCCCGGGCAGAAGAAATCACCATTCCAGCTGATGTCACCCCAGAGAGAGTTCCAACACACATTATAGATTACTCAGAAGCAGAACAGAGTGATGAACAACTTCATCAAGAAATATCTCAGGCTAATGTCGTCTGTATAGTGTATGCCGTTAACAACAAGCATTCTATTGATAAGGTAACAAGTCGATGGATTCCTCTCATAAATGAAAGAACAGACAAAGACAGCAGGCTGGAGTGCAGTGGTGGGATCTCTGCTTGCTACAACCTTCACCTCCCAGCCGCCTGCCTTGGCCTCCCAAAGTGCTAAGATTACAGCCTCTGCCCACCCGCCACCCTGTCTAGGAAGTGAGCAGCGTCTCTGCCTGGCCGCCCATAGTCTGGGATGTGAGGAGCCCCTCTGCCCGGCCGACCCGTCTGGGAAGTGAGGAGTGCCTCTGCCTGGCCGCCACCCCGTCTGGGAAGTGAGGAGCATCTCTGTCTGGCCGCCCATTGTTTGGGATGTGAGGAGCGCCTCTGCCCTGCTGCCCCAAATGGGAAGTTAGGAGCGCCTCTGCCCAGCTGCCCCAAATGGGAAGTGAGGAGTGCCTCTGCCTGGCTGCCCTGTCTGGGAAGTGAGGAGCGCCTCTGCCTGGCTGCCCCAAATGGGAAGTGAGGAGCGCCTCTGCCCGGCCGCCCCATCTGGGAAGTGAGGAGCGCCTCTGCCCGGCCGCCCCGTCTGGGATGTGGGGAGCGCCTCTGCCTGGCCGCCCTGTCTGGGAAGTGAGGAGCGCCTCTGCCCGGCTGCCCTGTCTTGGAAGTGGGGAGCGCCTCTGCCCAGCCGCCCCGTCTGGGAAGTGAGGAATGCTTCTGCCCGGCCGCCACCTGGTCTAGGAAGTGAGGAGCGCCTCTGCCCAGCTGCCCTGTCTGGGATGTGAGGAGCATCTGCCCAGCTGCCCTGGCTGGGAATTGAGGAGCACCTCTGCCCAGCCGCCCTGTCTGGGAGGTGAGGAGTGTCTCTGCCCGGCCGCCCCGTCTGGGAGGTGAGGAGCGTCTCTGCCCGGCTGCCCCGTCTGGGAAGTGAGGAGCACCTCTGCCCGGCCGCCCCATCTGGGAGGAAGTGAGGAGCGCCTCTGCCCGGCCGCCCCATCTGGGAGGTGAGGAGCATCTCTGCCCGGCTGCCCTGTCTGGGAATTGAGGAGCGCCTCTGCCCGGCTGCCCATTGTCTGGGAAGTGAGGAGCACCTCTGCCCGGCTGCCCGGTCTGGGATGTGAGGAGCGCCTCTGCCCAGCTGCCACCCTGTCTGGGAAGTGGGGAGTGCCTCTGCCCGGCCGCCACCCCGTCTGGGAGGTGAGGAGTGCCTCTGCCTGGCCTCCCCATCTGGGAAGTGAGGAGCGCCTCTGCCCGGCAGCTGCCCCGTCTGGGAAGTGAGGAGCGTCTCTGCCCGGCCGCCCCGTCTGGGAAGTGGGGAGTGCATCTGCCCGGCCGCTCCGTCTGGGAGGTGAGGAGTGCCTCTGCCCGCCCGCCCCATCTGGGATGGGGGGAGCGCCTCTGCCCGGCCGCCCATCATCTGGGAAGTGGGGAGCGCCTCTGCCCGGCCGCCCCATCTGGGAAATGGGAAGCGCCTCTGCCCGGCCACCCCATTTGGGAAGTGAGGAGTGCCTCTGCCTGGCCGCCCTGTCTGGGAAGTGAGGAGCGCCTCTACCCCGCCACCCCATCTGGGAGGTGTACTCAACAGCTCCGAAGAGACAGCGACCATCGAGAACGGGCCATGATGACGATGGCGGTTTTGTTGAAAAGAAAAGGGGGAAATGTGGGGAAAAGAAAGAGAGATCAGATTGTTACTGTGTCTGTGTAGAAAGAAGTAGACATAGCAGACTCCATTTTGTTCTGTACTTAGAAAAATTCTTCTGCCTTGGGATGCTGTTAATCTATAACCTTACCCCCAACCCCGAGCTCTCTGAAACACGTGCTGTGTCAACTCAGGGTTAAATGGATTAAGGGCGGTGCAAGATGTGCTTTGTTAAACAGATGCTTGAAAGCAGCATGCTCCTTAAGAGTCATCACCACTCCCTAATCTCAAGTACCCAGGGACACAAACACTGCCTAGGAAAACCAGAGACCTTTGTTGACGTGTTTATCTGCTGACCTTCTCTCCACTATTATCCTATGACCCTGCCACATCCCCCTCTCCGAGAAACACCCAAGAATGATCAATAAACATTAAAAAAAAAAGGTACAAGAAAAAAAAAGATAAGTTCTGTAAGACAAGAGATACTCTCAGAAAAAAGTCATTGGCTTTAGAAACTGTACAAAATGACCTAAGCCAAACACAGCAGCAAATAAAGGAAATGAAAGAGATGTATCAAAGTGCAGAAGCTAAAGTCAGTAAATCCACTGGAAAGTGGAACTGTGTAGAAGAGAGGATATGTCAACTCCAACGTGAAAATCCATGGCTTGAACAGCAACTAGTTGATGTTCATCAGAAAGAGGATCATAAAGAGATAGTAATTAATATCCAAAGAGGCTTTATTGAGAGTAGAAAGACCTCATGCTAGAAGAGAAAAATAAGAAGCTAATGAATGAATATGATCATTTAAAAGAAAGTCTCTTTCAATATGAGAGACAGAAAGCAGAAACAGTAGTAAGTATCAAGGAAAATAAATATTTTCAAACTTCTAGAAAGAAAATTTAAACATTTGGTTCTGGATACATGTTGAACCTAGTTGAATATAAAAATCAGTAGATAAAAAGTGTGTTTACTATACTGTATAATTCCATTTACATGAAGCATCCAGAAAAGAGAAATGTATAGGTACAAAAAGTAGATTAATGTTTGCAAAGGGCTGGGGCTGGAAGGTGGTAGTGACTGCTAATGGGCGTGAGGGATCTTGCAGTGATGGAAATGCTCTAAAGTTGGATTGTAGAGATGGCTGCACAGCTCAGAAAATGTACTGAAAATCTTTAACTTTATGTTAAAACAGATACATCTATAGTATGTAAATTATATTTTAACAAAGCTTTTTGATTTAAAAAAAAAAGAAAAATGTGTTTATTACATCAGCTTAGAAACATACCTTGTTTCCATAGAGGTGAGAGATGATTTACTTTGAGAGAAGACATTGTGTCACCTATGACATTTTATTAGGCACAGAGTCATATTTTAAGGTAGATAGTCCTGTAGTGCTGAAATAATAATTTTAATGTCTTTATGTTGCCACATGTTAAGACCATGATGAAGGTATAAATGGAAATGTTTACACCTGAAATGAGTGTTTTCAAATTAAAATTTAATTGATTTGCTTCAACACTTAATTGTAGATTTCCCAGATGAAGTGTATTGCTGTGTCTTGTAATATCTTGCTTTAAGTAGTTTTTTATATATTTTAGTTGGTATAGCTTTATTATTATTCATATTAATTTAACTTAAATCTGAAAATATGTCAGTCTCAAATTACATATTTTTATGACCATGTAATGTTTTAAAGGCACCTACTTGTTATAAAATTATAATTTAGGGTAAATGTAAATTTTAGCAAAACTATATTTGATTTAGTCTTCCCACTGGTATTCATAATTTACTTTGAATATTTTTATTAATAATTAGCTCATAATTTTTATTTCAAGGCTCAATGACTATCATTTGAATATAACTTTGTCCAGTACAAAGATACTGTAGCTGCCTGTGATTTATGAGTTAGGCATTAGATCCCCATTTTCAGACTAAAGAGGGGTGGCAGGCTTCACGTACAGTGGGAATGGAGTAATTATAGGAGGGAGTTGTAGGAGCTTGAAGTCAGAGAGGGAGGTAGAGGCCTGTTTACCTAGGGCCTCAGAGGCCATTGGAATTTTACTTTTATTCTGAGACAGGAATCTGTTGGAAGGATTTGAACAGTTGATTATGTTAGGAACTTTGAGGTTGAGTTGAGCTTCTAAGATGATTGAATGGTGGGATGAATCTGTTGTATTAAGAGAACACCAATTTGGCAGGAGGATAACACATTCTGCATCCCTCACTGAATTCAGTAATAAATAAAAATGTGTACATGTGATGAAAAGAAGGTGAACTGATGTGTGTGAGATAATTTTCAAAGTAGGTATGTTAGAGTTAAATGTTATTAACATAATTTAATAATAAGGCAATTTATAAAATCAGCAACAAAAATATTTTATCAGGTGGTTGTGAGACAACTTCAACAAGAAGTGGCTGATTCCCTTAAAAAATTAACTATGTTAGAGTCTCCACTGGAAGGTACATCATGTTGTCACATTAATTTGGATGAGACACAGGCCTCAAAGAAGAAATTATTTCAAGTGGAAAGTCAAGTATGTATGGAATTTAACATGTCGACAGTTATTCTGTAGCTGGTTGAATTATATAACATGTTTTAGGATACTAATTTTGGCAGAAGCTTGATTTTGTACTTTCATTATAATTAATTATTTCCATTTTACTATCTTTATAATGTACTTTTTTTTTATATTGTGACTTTTGTTCTACCATTTTGAAAAAGGATTTCATACCTTTTCTCTTACAATATGTACCCTTGGAAAAGTTGATAATTATACATTATTCCTCAGAGAAAATTGACTTTTTTCCTGTTAAACATATTTTCAAGTAATTTTTGTATTGCTATGATGAGGCAGGCCAGATTAAATCAGAGGACAATGTTTAATGGAATGTTCCAGAAAATTGTCTTATTTCTTCACTTTTGTGAAAGGACACAGAATCTGTGTCTATTTCACAGATTCTAAGTTAACTTGTATAGAAAGGCCGTTATACTGTTCTTTGAAATGTACATGTTTTATGTCAATTTACAAACTATTTGAAAAGTAAGGCATTTTCTTTATTTACCTTTTATTTAAAATATACTATAAAAGTATAGAAATATTTAGATCTGATATAGTATGTACATCAAAAATTGAGAGCTGAGAAAATTATCTTGATCCTGCCATTGTATTTTAAAAACAGTTTCACTGAGATATAATTCATGTATCTGACAGGTCAACCATTTAAAATGTGCAACTCAGTATCTGTTAGTATATTCACAGCATTTTCATCACCCTGAAAAGCAACCCCACATCTCCTAGGCATGACTGCAGCCTTCCTCCATGTCCCTCCACCTACCCCTGTTGTAGGCAAACACCATCTACTTTTGTCTCCATAGGTTTGCCTGTTCTGCATATTTCATATACATAGAGTTAGACAATACATAGTCCTTTGTGACTGGCTTTTTCACTTAGCTTAATGTTTTCAGAATTCATGCATGTTTTAGCACACATTGGTAGTTTATTTCTTGTTATAGTTAAATGATACTCTATTGCATGGCTATACTGGTTTTCCATTCATTCATCAGTTGATGGACATTTAGGTTAGTTTCCACTTCTAGCTATTATGAAAAATGCTGCTGCAAACATTCACTTAGGGGTTATTATGTGGACATGTGTTTTTATTTCCCTGCCATTGGACTTTATCCTCAGAGTTAATTGGGCAGATTTCAGCACTTGTCTTGCTCATGCTATCCTTTCTGCCTTCTCAGTTTCTGTTCATCTAGCCTCATTCATTCAGACCTGGCAGACAATTTTTTTGTTTTTATGAAGCTTTCTCTGACTGTTCTGATTCTCATTGACCTTATGTGTTAGGAATTGTTGTCCAGTCTGTGCAGAAAAACTTAGTCCTTAATTTTATGTGGCTTTTTCTTTTTTATGGAAGATAATTTTGTCTCAGTATAAATTTGCTTAATGGGGGAATAATATATAATATGTATGGCACCTATCCTTGCATAAATTGAAAATATTTTAGCTTAGAAATTTTTAGCATACAATTAAATACTTTATACCATACCAATTATTTGTTCTTTGAGACCTTGACACAGTAAGATTTATATTCTAAATGTATTTTTAGCAATTAAATATCAAATCTAAACCAATTAGTCTAATAGAGGAGACTCGTTCAATCACATGTTTATGTTTTTCTCTCTAAGAAAAAGAATCTAAATTGGCCTTTTTTCACTATGCAGCCATTACTGTATTTCTGGACTGCTCCCAGTTTGTCAGCTGAACAGTTCTGGCTGCAGCTTGTCTGATGACGGATAGCACAGCCCCTCAATCTCAGTGCTCAGCAGAGTGCTTGCGAAGGCAGCACCACAGCAACAGTTGCTCAGAGGGAACAGATTCAGGAGCCTTGGTTTAGCAATAGAGTCCAGGGTTTTAAGCTCAGTGTCTTTAGCCTGTCTCTACTGGTCATGTCAGTTATGTACTATTCCATCCAGGAGATGCTATTTACATTGTAGTACATACATAGTCATTGCCTACTGAGTCATACACAGAGAAAAGTAAAAGTAAGTTATAAATTATATGCCCCCCATTTGCTGCAACTCTCAGTGGTGGGAAGAATGATTCAGTGCAGCTATAGGAGACTACTTTCATTGGCATGCCACCTGCCTAACATACACAATTTTGTTAAGATATACAATAAAATTATTATGCTAATAGCAAATATTTTATGTAGCTCACTATGTTCCACGTACTCTTGTAAGTGCTTCATGTTAGTCCCCAGTTAAACACCTGGTTGGGGGAGGTGGCTCATGCAAGTAATCCTAGCATTTTGGAAGGCTGAGGTAGGAGGATCGCTTGAGCCCAGGAGTTTGAGATTAGCCAGAGCAATATAATGAGAACCTGTCTTTAAAAAATAAATAAATAAATACTTAGAGGCATGGTGATGCATGCCTGTAGTCCCAGCTACATTGGGAGGCTGTGGTAGGAGGGTCGCTTGAGCTTGGAATATTGAGCCTGCAGTGCGTGTTGATCAAGCCACTACACTCCAGTCTGGGTAACAGAGTGAGACTCTGTCTCATAAATAAAACGTTTTGTATAGATTCCCATAGAAGTGAGTTAGACATCAGGCATAGTATTGTTAGCCACTTTGATGTCTGCCTTGGGAGTAAAACATATAATAAGGGACAGCATTAAACCATCTCAATCAATAGCCTCTAACTTCTCAAGAAGGTTCTTATCTCCTGAATTTCTAAGCAAGAGACTACCTGGATGAAGACATTTGGTGGACACTGTTTTGAGATGAAGAATCTCAAATGGGAAGAAGGGAGATGTCTACTTGACTGGAGCTTCCCAGTGATATATTTGAGTGTCCCCCAAAAGAAACTTTAGAAACTTTAGAACAAGACTTTCATCATGCCATATCTCTGGAAAAGGAAACTCTTTAAAATAAAACAAAGGCAAACAATTGATAATCTGATTCTCATGGGAAAGTTTTCATTATAAAAGAAAAAAGGGCTGGGTGCCGTGGCTCACGTCTGTAATCCCAACATTTTGAGAGGCTGAGGTGGGTGGATTACCTGAGGTCAGGAGTTCAAAAACAGCCTGACCAACATGGTGAAACCCTGTCTGCACTGAAAATACAAAAATTAGCCAGGCGTGGTGGTGTGCACCTGTAGTCCCAGCTACTTGGGAGGCCGAGGCAGGAGAATCACTTGAACCCAGGAGGTGGAAGTTGCAGTAAGCCAAGATGGCGCCGCTGCACTCCAGCCTGGATGACACAGTGTGACTCCATCTCAAAAAGAAAAATAAAAAGAAAAAAAGGGACAAAGTATACTGGTCCAAAAAAGAAGAAAGAAAGAAAAAAAGGACAAAGTATACTGGTCAATATCATAATGGTGAGACTGTCCCCCTTTAAGATTAGAAAATAACGGTATACTCAAAGTAACATCAATAAGAACCAACATAAAATAGACAAGATTCACTATCTACAAAAGTAATCTGTACCAAGTAGCAATGTCTTGAGCGTGTGGTTGAGAATATTGTCTATAATATGTGTACTAGAAGGAAGAGGCCTCAAGAAAAAGGTCAGAGCTCGAAATGCAGATTAGGGAATCTAGGTCAAAGTTTTGAGATTTTAGGAGTCCTGAGAGAATTTAAAAAGTGGAATAGCAGCCAGGCGTGGTGGCTCACGCCTGTAATCCCAGCACTTCGGGAGGCCAAGGCAGGCAGATCATGAGGTCAGGAGTTCAAGATCAGTCTGGCCAACATAGTGAAACCCCATCTCTACTAAAAATATGAAAAATTAGCCAGGTGTGGTAGCACACGCCTGTAATCCTAGCTACTTGGGAGGGTGAGGCAGGAGAATCGCTTGAACCCAGAAGGCGGAGGTTGCGGTGAGCTGAGATTGTGCCACTGCACTCCAGCCTGGGTGACAGTGGGGGACTCCATCTCAAAAACAAACAGAAAGGAATAGGACTGAAGAACAGAGGTTGCTGCATTTAGAAATGAAGCGGGGTCAGAGGAGCAGAGGGAACATTTGGTCACTGCTCGCAGCTGCTGCTGAGTAAAGGAGGATAAAGTCCTTCATGACCCTTGGACTTTTTTATTGGAATTATGAAAAATCAGATTTCCATATTAAAAACACAATAAGTGATGAAAAATAGATTTCTGGATGAGACCATGTGTCACAGAGTCCAGTGGAAGGGGAGAAACAGGATAATAGAAAAACCACAAAAAGTAGACAAAAGTTGTGTTTTTGTTTATTATAGAAAAAAACTTTATTTAAAGAGAAAGGGTTAAGAGAAAGGGAAAAACTGAAACCTGTGGGTGAATACTTACAGAGAATGACAGTATTTAGCTCAACCTGAAGACAGATGAGGATCAAAAATGTAATGGGGAATAGATAAGAGTTTTCTAAAAATCGTCTTAGTAAGATGTAATTTAAGAAAACTTGGAATATCTTAAACTATTAATGACAATGTTTCTAGAGCATCTTTAAAAAGTAAAATGTAAATATAACTACACATTTTTTACTAACCTTTAGTATTTTATGTGTAAAAACCCTTGTTTGTAACGAACATTTTTGGCAGTTTAAATTTCAGAAAATATAATGAAAGTATGTATCATTTTTAGCAGTTTTAAGAAAAGTGACTGTTTTTGAAATCTGCACTTATTGGCATCAGGTTTATAAAATGCACTTTATACCCCTGCCTAAATACATATTACTTATCAACTTATGAGAAATAATATTTTTAAGATAAAAGAGGGTCTCTAGATTTTACAAAAATAATTTTAAACAGTTTTTTTTAAGCCTGAAGAAAAAAATGAAGAATTAAGGAAACTTTTTAAGTTAGTATCATCACTGGAGTATAATGTGAATCAAATAAGAAAGAAAAATCATGAATTAGAAGAAGAGGCAACTGGGTGTGGTTTTCATATTGTAGAACATGTTAATCATTTATTAATTGATTTATCACTAATTTTACTTGACTAAAACTGAGATACAAATTCATTTTATGTCTCCATTTTCATAATTAAATGAATTCTATTTTAAAATGTATTTCAGAAACTCACAACACAACTTTATGGGCATGTGCATCATGGGGTTGGGAGTCAGCTGAGCTGCTGGGGTGAGGTTGGGATGAAAAAATTTGTATTAAAATATGTATAAAAGAGAAACATCTGAAAATTTTTTGAATGCCAAAATATTATTTATTTATTTATTTTTACTTTTATTTATTATTTTTTTTTTGAGACAGTGCCTCTGTCTCCCAGGCTGGATTGCAATGGCGCCATCTTGGCTCACTGCAACCTATGCCTCCAAGCAATTCTCCTGCCTCAGCCTCCTGAGTAGCTGGGATTACAGGCATGTGCAACCACACCCGGCTAATTTTTGTATTTTTTAGTAGAGAGGAGGTTTTGCAAAGTTGGTCAGGCTGGTCTCAAACTCCTGACCCCGTGATCTGCCCGACTCAGCTTCCCAAAGTGGCACGAGCCACCGTGCCCGGACGCTTATTCTTTAATGATTTTGAAAACAATGACAAAGCCTTGGGCATATAATGTCAAGTCCACTCTTCATTACCTAGTTTGAATTTTTATTTCTGAAGTTATTTTTGCTGTCTGTGGTCATCTTTTCTTCCTTTTGTAGTATCCTCTGCTGCATTCAAATTCTTTAAAGAAGACCTATTGTGTCATTCTTTAACATCAAAATTTATCTTGATATATAGCTTCTATTTTGTTTCTGCTTCTTTTTCTTTTAGACATAAAACATATGGAAATGTACTCATTTTACACAGATACCTCCATTGTATACACGAAGTATACATGTTATTAAACTTCTGTTTTATAGAAATAAATTTCATATATATAAAAATATATGTATAACTTAAAATGAGCATTCATGTTTTGATCACAGATTTTTTTTTAAAATGGAATGTGTCTTTGAAGCCCTGAACACAGCTACTTTTCTATTTATTTACTGAGCACTTAAGTTGGTTTTCTGATTCTAATCTACATTTTTCTGTCATTGCCTTTCTCTACATTGTTTTGTATCTCTTTCATTTTGTTGACATTATGTCAGCAAAGATCTCTAGATCTCTTCTTCAAAGTCTTTAAATCGTCACACATCTCTCTGCCCCTTTCTTGGTCTTCTCTTTTTCTACATTGAATAATGTCCTTGATGCTTTTTGTGTGTACTTTTTTTTCTTCTTATAGACTGTGAATGGGTATTAAAATGTAATTTTTTGTCTTTTTCAAATGTATGTGTTTTACTTTTTTATCTTGGTTACTCATTTCTGGGTTATGGCTTATATTTAGTAATAGGTTATTTTATCTTAGCATACCAACATGGATATGAATAGTTTATTTACAAAAAGTGTATGGTTAGGCCAGGTGTGGTGGCTCACACTTGTAATCACAGCACTTTGGGAGGCCAAGGTGGGTGGATCATTTGAGGTCAGGAGTTCAAGACCAGTCTGACCATTCAAGGCCAGTCTGACCAACATGGTGAAACCCCATCTTTACTAAAAATACAAAATGAGCTAGGCGTGGTGCTGCATGTCTGTAATCCCAGCTACTTGGGAGGCTGAGGCAGGAGAATCACTTGAATCCAGGAGGCAGAGGTTGCAGTAAGCCGAGATCACACCATTGCATTTCAGCCTGGGCAACAAGAGTGAAATTCCATCTCAAAAAAAAAAAAAAAAACAACAAAAACTGTATGGTTGTGATACCACTTTACCTGCCATATATGCCATAAAATTGTTCTTCATATTATTTATCTAAGATTATACTTTCATATAGGGTGCTTCCAAACTATGCTCAGTTGAAACTGAAAGGATCATAGTTTATAGATGTGTTTCTTTGATATGCTATAACATAATATCTGTTTAAACAATTTTAAAATATTTACTCTTAAAAATATTTGACTTACTAATTCTGTACATTTCTGCAGATATAAGAAATTCCTGGAAATGACAATAAATATGTTAAGTGTATTTGGAAATGAAGACTTCGATTGCCATGGAGACTTAAAAACAGATCAACTGAAAATGAATATTCTGATTAAGAAGCTAAAACATAAGGTAATTTTTTAAAGAAAATATCAAGGTCTAGATTACATGTGTGAGATGTGCAGGTTTGTTACATAGGTAAACGTGTGCCATGATGGTTTGCTGCACCTGTCAATCCATCACCTAGATATTAAGCCCCGCAGGAATTAGCTATTGATCTTGATGCTCTCCCTCTTGACCCCAACAGGCCCCAGTGTTTGTTGTTCCCCTCCGCGAGTCCATGTGTTCTCATCGTTCAGCTCCCACTTATAAGTGAGAAAATGTAGTGTTTGGTTTTTTGTTCCTGCATTAGTTTGCTGAGGATAACAGCTTCGAGTTCATCCATGTCCCTGCAAAGAGCATGATCTCATTCATTTTTATGGCTCCATGATGTATATATACCACATTTTCTTTATCCTATCACTGATGGACATCTGGGTTGATTCCATGTCTTTGCTATTGTGAATAGTGCTGCAATGAACATGCAAATGCACGTATCTTTATAACAGAATAACTTATATTCCAACATACGGTAATTTTAAATCAGTTTTGGGATTAAAAATCAAGTAATTTGGGAACATATTGATAATGGAAAAACCCAAATTCTACCAAAATATGTTGAGAAAATAGAGGATAAATATATCTTTTCAGACTTTAAATGCATCAGCCTCTTAGTTCATCTTCCCCAGATCTGGGAAGACCTAGAAGGGGAGAGATTGGGCTACATTAATGAGGGCCATTTCAATCTCTTGGCCCTGCAGCAGCCATTTCAAAATATGTCAGAAAAATATATTTGGGGGTTAAATATTTTGATTTCCTTCAGCTTCTTCTCTCTGTGATGCTGTACCAGAATCAGGTGAGAAAGTAATCCACATTATAAGAGTTAATAAAACCCATCTGATGAGATTTAATAGTTTGAAGTGTGTGATTCTCAGACCCTTTAGATAGAAATCGGGGCCAAAGAAAATGAGGTCTTATTCCTCAATATAAATCTCTCAGTGCTTTAAGCAGTCAAAGAAAGATTTTTCATTTAATTTTACAGAATTGATACTAATGAAAAGGATAGTTTTTAAAATATAAACCTTTTTTCTATAAAAAGGACATGCTGTTGATTCTCTTATGTCTTTAACTCTGGCCAGTGATCTGAAACCAAGCAGTACCTGTCTCCAGACCACTAGTACCAAATTAATTTGGGGGGGCTGGGTAACAGGTTTATTGAGAAATAATGAACACACCATGCAAGTCACTCATTTAAAATATACGAGTCATTGACTTTAGTATTTTCAGAGAGTTATGCAGTCATCATCACAATCAATTTTAGAACATTTTCATCACCCTGAAAACAAACCCCACATCACTTAGCCATCTTCACTAGTTTCCCTTCCTCCGTCGGCCGTAGGGAACCACCAACCTCCTTTATATAGATTTGCCTATAAGCCTCTGAAATAAAAAGCAAGTGGTCTACTGTGACTGGCTTATTTCACTTAGCATAATTTTTCATGCTGCATCTGTGCTGTAGCAGGTATTGATGTGGGGTTTTTCTCATTAGTTCAGCTACATCTGGGTTCTTCTCTCATGACCAGGAAAAATTAAGCACGCAGACACATTGAAGGGTGAGGAGGACAGAATTTATTAAGTGAAAGGAAAGCTCTCAGCAAAGAGAGTGGTCCTGCAAACAGGTTTCCACCTCACAATTGAATACCAGGAGCACATGAGCTGAAGTGGCCAGGCTCCTCCCCTGCATAAGGCGTGAATTCCTGGTGGCTCCACCCCATCCCCCCAGTGCATGTGGGCCTCTGATCTGCTGCAGGCATGTCCAGGCAAGACAAGTCCAGGTTCCCTTATCTGCACTTAACTTCTGGTGTAAACACTTGTGGGGCTGGTTGGAGATTCTCCAGGGACCCTTCCATATCTGCCTAGGCATTTTGCTGTCTCCTTCTAATACAGTATCAGTACTTAATTTCTTCTTATTGCTGAGTGATATTCCATTGTATGGATACATCAAACAGTTTATTTATCCATTCACCAGGTAATGGACCTTTGGGTTCTTTCCCACCCAAAGGTGATGGACGTTCTGGTTCTTTCCACTTTCTGACTCATATTAATAATGCTGCTGTAAACATTTATGTATGAGTTTTTGTGCTTCCATGATTTTTATTTTTCTGGAGTATATACTTATGACTGGAATTTCTGGGTTGTATGGTAACTTCATGCTTAACCTTTTGAGGAGCTGCCAGTTTGTTTTCCAAAGCGGCTGCATCACTTTACATCTCCAGCAGCATTGGATAAGGGTTTTAATTTCTTTACATTTTTCCTAACACATTTTCTCTTTTTTATTGAACAAAGATTTTATCCTGTGGTGTGAAGTGATACCACATGTGGTTTTGATTTACATTTTCCTAATGACTAATTACATCAAGCATCTATTAATGTGCTCATTATCCATCTTTTCATCTTCTTTGCAGATACATCTATTCAAAATCTTTGCCCATTTTAAAAATTGAATTATCTTGTTACTCATGAATTGCAAAGGTTCTTTACATATCCTATATATGTAAGTCGCTTATCAGGTATATGCTTTTCATATACTTTCTTCTACTTAGTGTCTTGCCTTTTCACTTCTTGATACTGTCTTCTCAGGCACAGCAGTTTTCAATTTTCAAGTCCATTGAATCCGTTTTTCCTTTGGAGTCATAGCTAAGAAAACACTGCCAAATGCAGTCACAAATATTTATGCCAGGGTTTTCTTCTGAGAGTTTTATAGTTTTAGCTGTTACAGTTAACTGTTTTATTTTGAGTTAATTTTTAAAAAAGATATTTGGTCCTAATTTATTTATTTTTTGCATATGGATACCCAGTTGTCCCAGCACCATTTGTTGAAAAGACTATTCTTTTCCCATTTTGTTCTTTTGTTAACTTTATATAAAATCAATTGACTGTAAATGCACAAGTTTATTTTTAGATTATCAATTCTTTGTTTATGTCTATTCTTATGCCAAGGCCAAAATGAATTTACTGAGAAGTTTTTTTCAATCATGTTGCATATTACCAGTTGTCTTATGTTGTAATAAAAAATTAAATTTAGTGGAATATCTTTAATTTCACCTTTTGTGTCTCAAAGGAGTCTCTGGCCAGCTTATACCTCACTTACTCTAAGACATGATGGGAAGCCAGGCCTATAAGACATACTTTATTTATTTTTTCTCCATTCAAATCTTTAGTCTCTTTTTCATTGCCTCCCGCTATAGTTTTGTTTTCAGTAAGTTTTGGTCACAGGATCTGCTGACATAGTCTAATATTTAGTGCATTATGTTTTGCTAACTCATTATAATTCATAGAATCTTCCATAGATGTTTACCATCCAGGAAGGAGAAGTTTAAGTCTGAGCCGCCAGCTTTCCTCAGTGGAAATCAAGTGAAGTCATCATCTTGCAGTTCACAGATCCTCTTTCCCCCTGGTAGCTGGTTCTCTTGGGTAGCACTGTGGCTAATCCTTTTCTTGGTGCAGATCTTGCATTCTCAGAAACCACAGTTAGCTGTATTGACCGCCTTTTACTGAAACAGAGATGCACAGCTCTGCTTTCTAGCTCAGTAGAGGATTCCTGGAATATAAAGTTTAACTCATTCCAAGAAAAGGTCTTAGGAGTGCAGCACTTCAAAATCAGGTAATATTCAGGCAATTTATCAGAGACACATAGTAGATTAGTATTTTGACTTTCAAAATTTCAGAGCCAAGTTGTGTGCTATAGAGAAGTCTTGTGGTAGAGCATAGAGATGGGATGGTCTTAACTTCTCCAAACAAACAAGCTTGAAGTAAGGTAAAGGAGAAATTGCACTTGATTGCTTAACACTCAAAGCACACTATGTTTATTTTACTTCTGTGAAGACTAAAAATCATTTCATAATGTTCTCATTTCCTCATTGAGAAAAGGAAAATAAAAATTAAATACTAGATTGATTAATAAATACTGAAAGCTTATCTTTTAGAATTTTAGTTAATTCAAATCAGGTAAATGTCTGATTTTGATTGTGTAACCAAGTATTTCTAGTTTTTTTTCATACCATATGTCTTCTTCTTGCTTCCCAGTCTTATTTCCTAACTTGAGGGGAAACCGTAAGGAGACACCCTTGCCTTGTTATCAGAGTTCATAATTGAAGGAGTTTTAGGAAAAGTTCCTCCTCAGCAGCTTATGTCTCTGTCCTGGTTATCTGCTGCTTCTCAATAATGTTTGCCATCAATAAATTAACCTCAACATTTATTAGATCCTACTTTAAAGGAGACTCTTTTCTGCTGCATAAGTTATGTTTCCTGTTGTCTCTTTTTAAAAGTTACTTTTCTAACAATTACCCACAGTTTTGTGGCTTAAAAGAAAAATATTTATTTTGTTAATGAACCTGTGGTTTGGAAAAAGCTTGGCCAGGACAGCTCGTCTCTACTCCCCTCAGCTTCCCTAGGAACAGCTATCAGTTGGGGAAATGGAATCCTCTGAAGCGTTACTCACCCACGTGTTTGATGGTTGATGCTGGCCATTGGCTAGAACCTTGGTTGGGACAGGCAGTATGAACACTGACACTGGCACTGCCAGGTTCTCTTTGTGGCCTGAGTGCTCTCACAATCTGGGGGCTGGGTTCCAAGGGAAAACAGTCTGAGATAGGTAAGCCACATGGTATCCCTTTTACTGCATTCTATTCATTAGGAGGAAGTCAGTAAGGTTGGCCCATATTCTGTTTTTTTAAATGGGATCGATGTAACTTCTCTTTTGTTTTAATTGACACATATATACATAATTGTGTTATAGAGTGATATTCTGATACATGTAAATAGGGTGTAATGATCAAGCTAACTAGCACATTTACTACTTCAACCATTTTTCACTTCTTTGAATTGTGAACATTCACAATCTTCTGGCTTTTTAAAAATATACAAGAAATCATAGTTAACCATATTCACCCTACAATGCCGCAGAACACCAGAACTCATTCTTCTTATCTAACTGTAATTCTATATCCATTAACCAACCTACCTTCCCCTACTTCTTTGAGATTTTTGTTGTTGTTAAGAGACAGGGTCTTGCTAGTGTAGTCTGGGCTCTGGGCAACTATAGTCACCCAGATGGGAGACAGTGGTTTGATCATAGTTCACTGCAGCCCCCAACTCTTGGGCTCATGTGATCCTCACACCTCAGCCTCCTGAGAAGCTAGGATTATTGAGCATGCACCATTGCACCCGTCTGATTTTTGACTTTATAGAAATATCTCCCTATGCTGCCCAGGTGCTCTGGAACTTTTGGCCTCAAGTGACTCTCCTGCCTTTGTCTTTCTAAGTGCTAGGAAATTACAGGCGTCAGCCATGTTGCCCAGCCCTCAATTTTTGTTTAGCTCCCACACAGGAGTGAGAATGTGCAGTATTTATCTTTCTGTGTCTGCACTTAACATAACATCCTCCAGACTGATCCACGTGGCCACGATAACAGGATTTAATTCCTTTATACGGTGAATAGTATTCCATTGTGTATGTGTGCCACAGTTTTTTTTCTTTTCATTTGGAGATGGATATGTAGGTTGATTCCATACATTAGCCGTTGTGAATAGTGCTACAATAAACATATGAGGACAGGTATCCTTTTGATCTATTGTTTTCTTTTCTATTGCCTGAATACCCAGTAGTGGGCTTGCTGGATCCCTCGGCAGTTCCATTATTAATTTTTTGAGGAAACCTCATGTTGTTTTCTATAGTGGCTGCACTAATTTACCTTGCCACCAACAGCACGTAAGAGTTTACTCTTCTCTGGAACCTCACCAGCATTTTTTTTTTATCTTTTCAATGATAATAATTTATTCAAATTGAAGCAAGATTATATCATATTGTAGATTTGATTTGTATTTCTCTGAGGATTAGTGATACTGAGCATTGTTAAATTTATTTATTGGCTATTTGTATTTCTTTTTTCTAAAAAAAAAGTATAGTTAGATATTTTGCCCAATTTTGAACTCAGATTTTTTTTTTACTGTCAAGTTGTTTGAATTTCTTGTACATTTTGGATATTAGTCCCTTATTAGATTAATAGCTTGATGATATTTTCTCCCATTCTACAAGTTTTGTCTTCACTCAGTTGTTAGCTGGACAGAAGCATTTTAGCTTAATGTAGTACCATTTGTCTATCATTTGTTTTTTGCCTATGCTTCTGATATCTTACCCATAAAAATCTTTGTGCAGACTGTCCTCAAGAACTTTCCCTATGTTTACTTATAGTAGTTTGATAATTTTGGGCCTTGCATTTCAGTCTTCAATTGATTCTGAGTTTATGTTGTTATATGGTGTTACATAGGAAGCTAGTATCATTCTTCTCCATATGGATATTTAGTTTTCCCAGCGCCATTCATTTGAAGAGGCTGTCCTTTCCCCAGTGTATGTTCTTGGCACGTTCATCCAAAATCACTTGGCTGGAAATATGTGGATTTATTTCTAGGTGCTGTATTCTATGGCCTTTACCCCAAGAATCATTACTTCTTAAAATGCAACTCAAATTAGCATGAAACATTTGCAGTTTAAGGAAAGGCTTATGGCATCAGAATACTTATTTATAGGATTCATTATTTTGTGTTTTTTTGAGATATGGTCTTTGTCTGTCATCCAGGCAGAAGGGCAGTGATGTGGTCATAATTCACTGCAGCCCTGAACTCTGGGTACAAGCCATCCTTTTGCCTCGGTCTCTCAAATAGCTGGGTCTACAGACATGAGCCACCATGCCCGGCTAATTAAAAAAAATTTTTTTTTGTAGAGATGGGGCCTCACTATGTTGCTCTGGCTGATCTCAAATTCCTGGCCTCAAGTAATCTTTCTGCCACAGCTTTTTAAAGTGCTAGGATTACAGGCACGAGCCACCATGCCTAGTATAGAGTGTTATATTATTTTCAAAGTCTTATTCCTAGAGCCATTTATTGACTTCGGCCTAAATAACTCAATGTGATATTTCTGAAACTTTTTTTGACATATTATGGGGAATGATAATGAGGGAAGGGGGATAGACACTTTTTACTAAGAGATAGCTTAGTGCCATTTAAGGAGGAACAAAAAATTATCAGAAAAATAAAAGTAAGATGAAGTGCAAAAGTTCTGTGGCAAAGATGATGATAGTTAAATAATGTATTTTTGTGACTCATGGTAGCTTTAACTTTGTTCTTAAAATTCTGAGTAATTTAAGGGTTCACATTTGAATAATTTACTGCACTACAAATAACAGTTTATTCCAAGTAAATGCATTTCAAAATTTGCTATTGATTTTGTATTAGATTATTCTCAGCCTACTTCATTATCAAGCTATACTATTTTATTCATGCAGTTTGATGATCTTACAGTAGAGAAGGAAGCTGTATCTTCAAAATGTGTCAATTTGGCTAAAGACAATCAAGTTCTTCAACAGGAGTTATTATCGATGAAAAAAGTACAACAGGAATGTGAAAAACTTGAGGAGGATAAAAAGATGTTGGAAGAAGAAATATTAAATCTTAAGACACATATGGAAAACAATATGGTAGAACTTAGTAAACTACAAGAATATAAATCGGAGCTAGATGAAAGGGCAATGCCGGCAGTAGAAAAATTAGAAGAAATCCATTTACAGGTTAGTTTTTTAAATCAGGTAAGTTTATCTGTAATGTGCTTTCCTTTATTTCACCGCAAATTATATTTTGGATATGTGTATATTGTGTTTCCTCTGCCTCTCTTGTAGCAATTTGCTTTGTAGAGTTTTAGAAAAAAAATGGCATCTGTTTTTTCTTTTAAATATTTAAATTTCCATTATTATAACAAAATCAATCTTTCAGAGTAATGATTCTTACTATGGAGTCATTTGATGATTAAGACCAGTTGGCATAAGAAAAAGTTGTGATTTAGAAATTATGTGATACTTTTGAATTGGTCTTAAGCTACATTGTTCGTTGATCACTTTTTAAAATTATGAATGGATTCTGTTGCTTTTTATATGACCAGATTACGTTAATACTAACATAATTATGATTTCAAATTTTTATAAATCAGACTTTATTCTGAATTCAGTTATTAGTTTTGATACTGCTGATAAATATTTTAAGCTTCAGCCTCTTTTTTTAACATATTCAAAATTGCTCTTTGAATCACTGGCTCAAAATGAAAGGCAACAAACATAATAATTAGGTTATAATTATTTTAAAAATATATTCTTTTCATTTGTTTTAGAAACAAGCACAATATGAAAAACAATTAGAGCAGTTAAGGATAATACGGCTTCACTAAATAAGAAGGAACTCACACTTAAAGATGTGGAATGTAAATTCTCCAAAATGAAAACTACTTATGAAGAGGTTACAACCAAATTAGAAGAATATAAGGAAGCCTTTGCAGCAGCACTGAAAGCTAACAATTCCATGTCAAAAAAATTAACGAAGTAAGTCCAAACATACACTCATAGAAAATGAATTCAGCTCATTAATTTGTTTTGAAAGCATAATTTTTAGTGAGATGGCTTCAGGATATTAGTAGGAAGTGAATGCTAATTTGACAATGTAATTTTGGAAAATAATGTTAGTAAGTAATCTTACCTTTAAAATGTTAGTCAAGGATAGTTTCTGTCTCTCCTCTCATTTTTTTTTTGTTTTGTTTTTGTATGGCTTTTTTCCCCTGAAAAGTCTGTTGTAGTTAATCTGTTAGTTTTTTTACTAAGTATTTTTGAAGCTTTATAATTAATAAAGTGATCTTGTTTTAAATTACTTGTCAGAATTTCCATAAATAGTAATATTAATGAGTTTACTTTTCGGTAGATCACGACCTAAACCCAAAGTGTCAAGTGGTACTGATACTCTGGGCACAATCGTTTTTGATTGTGATCTTTAGTATTATCACTAGAGGGTGCCTCAAGAAAGAATATTTGTGTAACATATTCAAGATGTTATAGAAAGGCATCCTTATGAAATAGGGAATAATTATCACAGGAATTTAAAGAAGTGTAATTCACAAAGTGGTTAAAAAATAACACCTTGTTCAGTCTGAAGGGGTGTGTGGAAGGCAAAAAGAACAAGCCCCACCTCCAGTGCCTTGGTCACAGTGCTGGGGGCTAATTGCCTTCAGAGATGCTTTAGTTCTTTTTGATCAACAACCAAACAATCTAGTTCTCCCCTAGGAGTTGTTGCTCTGAATTATTCCTCATTACCAAATGTTTAATTGGTCCTAGATAATTGGTGAAATGTACAAGGGTGAAACCTAAAACTGGTTTACTAAACACAAGTATTCCTAGATTTTTTTTGTTCATTTTAGTTTTCTTAACCTACCTTAAAGAGTACAACATGATGTTTTGATATAATTATTTCTAGTGAAGTGGTTCTTATAATCAAGCAAATCAACATATTCCTTTTCCCATGTTGTTACCCTTTAAATACAAGTATTTCAAGTGGAATCTTCAGAATCTTTCAAGTAGAGCCATTTTAGAAGGCAGCAAGTTTTACCTGTTGAGCCATACATCACTGGTAGCCATTTCTCTTCCCTGTTTGAGCTGCTTGTTCAGTATAAATCACCTTAGAAACACA
The DNA here is from genome assembly GCF_000001405.40 of Homo sapiens. Lineage (NCBI taxonomy): Eukaryota > Metazoa > Chordata > Mammalia > Primates > Hominidae > Homo > Homo sapiens. The sequence continues at coordinate 118,788 of NT_187594.1, read as the reverse complement.
GGTGCTTCTTTAGAATGATTTTAAAAGTATAATTCCTTGCAACAGGTATGCTCTCACACATCTTCAGTGTGAAAACACTGTTTAGTGGGTAATTTGGTTTACTCTCAGGGCAAGTTTTTAAAAACTACAAGTCATTAAGAATCATTTAAGGAAAAATGAAATACTAAGCATTTGTCTTTGCTATCTTTATAGATCTAATAAGAAAATAGCAATGATCAGCACCAAGCTCCTTATGGAGAAAGAGCGGGTGAAATATTTTCTCAGCACTCTTCCTACAAGGCGAGGCCCAGAGTCACCTTGTGTTGAAAATCTTACTAGTATAGGACTCAACAGAAAATATATTCCCCAAATGCCCGTAAGAATTCCTACTTCAAACCCCCAGACCTCAAATAACTGCAAGAACTACTTGACTGAGGTTCGTTATATGACCGTTTCTTTTTAGGGTTTCATTTCTCTAGCGTAATTCTTGTTTTTAATTTGGTGAAATACTGAGTTGTTCTGTTGACTTATGCATGTTAAGTAAAGATCATAATTAGCTGTGTTAACACAGAAAGGAAATGGGAACGTTACATTTTTTAATTCCCTGGAGCTCTCATTTTTGAGAGATATCCATTTGCTAACTTTATTCAATAAATGTGACTAAACTGACACGTTTAAAATGTCTTTAAAAGCTGCATTTATGTTAGGTTTTAGAAATTGCATGTTATTGCCTTATAACTGATGATATACTTTGAGATACTTTGGCTTACTCTCTAATTGATTGTAGTTTAGCTGTGGTTCATACCACATTTTTTTTTCTTTTTTTTGAGGCAGTGTCTCACTCTGTCACCCAGGCTGGAGTGTCGTGGTGCCATCTCCATTCACTGCAACCTCCACCTCCCGGGTTCAAGTGATTCTTCTGCCTCAGCCTCCCAAGTAGCTGAGACTACAAGCACCCACCATTACACCCAGCTAATGTTTGTATTTTTGGTAGAGACAGGGTTTCACCATATTGGCCAGGCTCTTCTTGAACTCCTGACCTTGTGATCTGCCTGCCTCAGCCTCTCAAAGTGCTGGGATTACAGGCATGAGCCACCGCACCCGGCCCACGTCACTTTTAAGTTTCTTTGCACCAGCCAGGTGCGGTGGCTCATGCCTGTAATCCCAGCACTTTGGGAGGCCGAGGCAGGTATGTCACGAGGTCAGAAGTTCAAGACCAGCCTTGCCAAGATGGTGAAACCCCATCTCTACTAAAAGTACAAAAAAAAAAATAGCCAGGTGTGGTGGCGGGCACCTGTAATCCCAGCTACTAGGAAGGCTGAGGCAGAGAATTGCTTGAACCTGGGAGACAGAGGTTGCAGGAGCTGAGATCGCACCACTGCACTCCAGCCTGGGTGACAGGGCAAGACTCCATCTTGAAAATAAAAAATTAAAAAAAAGTTTATTTGCACCATCTCAACTCTTCCCACCCATAATCACAACTGAATGATTGGCATCCAAACACTTTACCACATATGGATGTTTATTATTTAGTAGAATCCAAAATAATTGCATTTTATGAATTAAACCAAACACTAAAATGTTCATTTCCATTTTTATGTTAAAAGCTTTGTGCTTGGCCAGGCGCAGTGGCTCACACTTGTAATCCCAAAATTTGGGGAGGCCGAGGCACGTGAATCACCTGAGGTCAGGAGTTTGAGACCAGCCTGGTCAACATGATGAAACCTGTCTCTAGTAAAAATACAAAAATTAGCAAGGCATGTTGGCAGGCGTGTGTAATCTCAGATACTCAGGAGGCTGAGGCAGGAGAATCACTTGAACCCAGGAGACAGAGGTTGCAGTAAGCCAAGATCATACCACTGCACTATAGCCTGGGTGATGGAGACTCCGTCTTAAAAAAAAAAAAAAAAAAGGCTTGTGCTTTTCTTACATAAGAGTACATCTTCTGACTATAAAAATCCTGGAAGAAAACCTAGGAAATACTCTTCTAGACATCATATTTGTCAATTTATGGCTAAGTCCTCAAAAGCAATTGCAAGAATAACAAAAATTGACAAGTGTCATCTAATTTAGCTAAAGAGCTTCTGCACAGCACGAGAAAGTATCACGGGATTAAACAGACAGCCTAAAGAATGGAAGAAAATATTCACAAACTATGGGTATAGCAAATGCCTATTATCCTATTATCCAGAATCTATAAGAGACCTAAACAAATCAACAAGCAAAAAATAAATAACACCATTAAAAATGGGCAAAGGACATGAACAGACACTTCTCAAAATAACACATGTAAGTGGCCAACAAACATTAACAAATGCTTACCATTGCTAATCATCAGAAAAATGCCAAACAAAACATCAGTGAGATACCATTTCACACCAGTCAGAATGACTTTTGTTGAAAAAAAAAAAAAAAAGATGTTGGGGAGGCTGTGGAGAAGAGGGAACACACACTGTTTGTGGCAATGTAAATTAATTCAGCTACTATGGACAGCAGTTTGGAAATTAAGAACTAAGAATAACCGTTGGATGCAGCAACCCCATTACTATACTGGGGGTATACTGAAAGGACAATAAATCATTGTAACAAAAAGATGCATGCACATGTATGTTCATTGCAGCACTATTCACAATAGCAAAGACATGGAGTCAATCCAGGTGCATCCAAGGTAGATTGAAAATCCAAGGTAGATTGGAAAATTCCATATATACCATGGAATACTAAGCAGCCATAAAAAGAACAAAATCACATCATTTGCAGCAACATGGATACAGCTGGAATCCACTCTCCTAAGCAAACCAATGCAGAAACAGAAACCAAGTATCTCATGTTTTCACTCATGTGGAAGCTACACATTGGGTGCACATTGTCATAAACATGGGAATAATAGACACTAGGAAATAAGAGCAGGGAGGGACAGAGTGGGCCAGGGTTGAAAAACTACTTACTGGGTCCTACGCTCACTACCTGTGTGATGGGCTCAATTGTACTGCAAACCTCGGCATCCCTCAATATGCCTTTGGAAGAATCCTACGGAGGTACCACCTTAATTTAGAATACAAACTAAAAAAAAAAAAGAAAGAAAAGTTTACTATAAGTAGAGAATAGAAATTTCTTTTTAAGTTAAAATTTATTAAAGTAAAAAATGGATTAAACTTTTATAAAGGGCAGAGTTTTCTAAGAATTTCAAAGCAATGCATTCATTGCAAAAGATGGCTTTAATTACTTAATTATTATTTTTTTTTTGAGACAGGGTCTCACTCTGTCACCAGGCTGGAGTGCAGTGGTGCAGTCTTGGCTCACTGCAACCTCCATCTCCTGGCTTCAAGCAATTCTCCTGCCTTAGCCTCCCAAGTAGCTGGGACTACAGGTTCACATCACCACGCCCAGCTAATTTTTGTATTTTTAGTAGAGATGGGGTTTCCCCACGTTGGCCAGGATGGTCACCATCTTCTGACCTTGTGATCTGCCTGCTTTGGCCTCCCCAAGTGCTGGGATTACAGTATGAGCCACCATGCCTGGCCATTGTTTAACCTTTGTACTAATAAAACACTACCTTTCTAAAATCATGTAATGCAATAGATCAATATTAACTGTATTTTTGTCCGATTACTCTAAACAGCATTACACATATACATCCTCTGTTATCTAAACTTAAAATAAGTAGAAATTTTAATTTATTTATGTGATTATTTTTCTATTTAAGCAAACTTCAAGTTATGTCTAGTCACTAAAAATACTAAAGGCCACATTTTGTAAATGATACATTATTTTCATGATAATGTTTCTTGTTTAACTTAAACATTATTATTATTTTTACTTATTTTAGGTGGAGCTGGACTGTGTAGAACAAATAATTAGAGAAACAAAGAGAAGTATGTTGCCAAAATTTTTAAATTAAATTTAGGTTTATTTTAGAAATAAAGTGTAAATAGCAAATGGCATTCCTTTTCATTCTTGGGTTAGTAGATACTACGTCAAGTATTTTTTTCTTACACACATCTAATGAAAGATGTGAGAACAAAAACTTTCACAGAGAAGACTGTACTTATGCACCATAAATTCATCATGTTCTGTAGCTTAAAAAATTCCCAAGAAGTCTGTGCATCTCTTTTTCACTGGCTCTACACTTTCTTAAGTTTTGCCATCCTCATGGAACTGTCAGCCAGCACACTGAAACGATTCTCAGAAAACACAGGCATCATCAAGTTCTCAGGGTTTTGGTAGAAATTGAAGGCCAACAGACCTCAGACTCATTCAGAAATGCTTAGTTGAGCAATAACCCTTCATAAGCAGTCACTTGACAGGTGACATTTTAAATCTCCTGTCATTTACTGTGTCATTGGCTTACACTTGTTCTCAGGAAACATTCCAGATTTTTCACCATGAAATAAAAACACCCATGTCAATGTAATTCTTGTCAAGTTACTCAGCCTTGTCTCTCACCACTTACTGCACTCTGCCCTTTGCTCTAGCCCAAACTGGATGGAGGGGAACTCTGCAGGGCTCTTCCTCACCTCAGGCTCTTTGCCTTCGCCTCTTCCCTCTATCTGGCAAGCTTTTCCTTGTCCTTCAGGTATCAACCTATGTTATCTCCTCCATCAGAAAGCCCATGATATTGACATAAAAGTGGGTAGGTGTCCCTTCTGTGTGTTCCAGTAGTGCCCTGCTGTATATCTGTCATGGTATCTATGACTCTATATGGACATTACCTGCCTGTCTGTTTTTTTAGGCTATGGCATATGACTGTTGAGAGGTGGACCACACCATCTTCATCTTGTAATTCCAGTGCTGGTTCTAGTACCTTGGCACATGGCTGTTGATTACATGAATGAAGAATGAAAAAGCTCTGATATTTAAACACAATTAGAATTAATGCCATGTTAAATTATTAAATAGTAATTTTGTATCGTAAATGTACATACATATTTCTCATACTTATTAACTCTGATAAAGTTCACAACTCTTTAGTTTTTAAACTCACACTTAGTTAACTGAAGTGTTTTATTTAAAGGACATAATTCTTTATTTTTCTTTCTAGCTGTTGCTGTGTTGGACACTTGCTCCCATCTATTTTCTTCTCTAGAATCCACTGGTAAGCCACATCTAATGAAGAGAATATTTAACCATAAAGTTTTAAGGAAAAATTGTATGATTTAAAAGATTATAAAACTTTATTACTGGGCTATTTACACATTTTAATTGTTTCTCATAAAATATATAACATTACAATATTTACTGAAGTAGGATATTTTTGTATCATATGTACGATGATAATTTATAGGGTATTTTAAATGATGTTTTTTAGCCTCCTTAAGTTTTAAGTGGCTCTTGCAAATGAAAACAAGTATTATTGAGTTTGACATACTCAAATTGCCCAAATATCAGCTGTTTAAACAACCAAGTCATCATTGATACTTTAATAAAGGTTAGTAAAGGTCATCGAAGGCTTATTTGCAGTTTACAGTTTTTATTACTTAGGAGACTTAAGGAGTACCTGCCAGGTTTGTCCATGCTAACGCTACGATTTTGTTTTTGTAGTTCAACTATATTTTGTATGGAGATACTTTGAGGCTCTGTAAATATCTGGTTATTCCTCAGAACCCACTAGATTTAGCATTTCATGGATGACTTGTGTTTGAACAATTATTACTATGATGGTTGCCAGATGATTATTTTCTTATTCTCTTCTTTGTTCTACATGGAGAAATAAAACCAATAAATAAGGGAGAAGGAAAGCTCATGATTCTGATGCTCCAATTCCCCAAGATTAGGCCAGTGGTAGACATTCCAAGCCGACTTGATGTGTTTTTGATTTGTCTCCATTACTCTGTCAGCACTTTTTTACTTTCTGGCACAAGGTGTTCTCAGCTCATCGTGTATTTTCTCTGCCCCAGCGCTGGAATGAGTCATTTTTTTTAGAAGCAGAGGTGGAGCCACTGAGGAAGCACAGGCGAGCCCTCCCCAGCGTGTACTCACTGGTCCCCAACAGAAGAACAGCTGCCGCATCCACTGAGGTACCAAGAAACTAGCAAAGGGCCTTCTGGCTCTCTGGGGACAGTCCTCATGTGGTCCCTGGCTCAGCCTCAGAGGTTCTGGATTAGTCTTCCTGTAGCCTCTGTGCTGTGTCTTTAGATCGGGGCTCTGTGGGAAGGGCCCTGAGAGACCCAACAGCACAGTGTGTCTCATCTGCCAAATGTCCCTCCCTTCCTAACACTCTGACACTCAGGAATAGGGTAGATGGCGTGTCCAGGCAGTGCCAGGCCACCTCACTGTCTCCTTTGAGATGGGCCCAGAGGGCCTTTGGGGTGAGTGTGGAGCTGGAAACCTGGAGCCTGAGGCCGACTGTCTCTCCCTGTGTCTTGGAGGAAAGGCCATTTCCCAAAAAAAACCCCAGGGCCTGACCTCTGGGCACATATGCAGGGAGGGAGGGTCTGTGAGCTGAGGGGGACATTGTAATAAGACTTTGAGCACGGCTGCTCAGGGGCCTGGTCAGTGGACCATGGTCAGAGGTGACCTGGTCATCAGGACCTAGTCATTTGGGACCTCATCAGCAGGCGCCTGGTTAGTGGTGGGCTCCTCAGTAAAGGCCTCATCAGTGGGGACCTGGTGACCTAGTCATTGGAAGCCTGGTCAGTGGGGGGTACCTCATCAGTGGTGGCCTTACTAGTGGGGCCTGATTGGTTGGAACATAAACAATGAAAAACTGGTTTGTGGGGCATATACAGTATACCAGGGGCCTGGTCAGTGTGGGACCTTGGTGGCTTGGAGCCTGGTCAGTGAGGGCCTGGTCAGAGGTGGCTTGGTCAGCTGGGGACTCATCCATGGAGAATTGTTCAGTGGGGGGTCGGGTGAGCAGCAACCTGGTAAATAGTGGTCTTGTCAGTGGGAACCTGGTCTTGTCACTGGGGACCAGGTCAGTGGAAAATTGGTCAGTGGAGTCTGGCCCATGAGGCCTATTAAGTGCGGGCCTGGTTAGGAAGACATGGTCAGTGGGGACTTGATCAGTGGGACCTGGTCAATGGAGGAGTGGTCATTAGGGGCCCCATCACTGGGAACCTGGTCAGCGGCGGTTGGTCAGTACCTGGCCCGCTGGCCACTGTGTGACCTCAGGGGGTTTGTCTGTGGAACCTCACCTCCATCTGCAGGGAAGGTGAGTCAGGGCACCCTGGAGGGTGGCTGGAAAGAGAAGGTGAGAAGATGTGTTGAATACAATACTGTTTGGCAGACCTACAACTTTACAAATTACCTGTGTTCCACCTAGAGAGGGTGCCAGCCCTCTCAGCATTATGCAGTGCCCCTCCTCTGTCTGCATCCCCAGGACCACCATGGGTGGGGAGGACAGAGATTGGGGAGCACCTATAGAGGCTCTAATGCTCTAAGGTGACAGTGATGAGGACCTGGGTGCACCCATGAGTGGAGAAGCTAGGCCTGTCCAGAGAAGTAAGACAAACACACACATATGTGCGCACACACAGGCACACATGCATACACAAACACATTGCATGCACACATGTCAGTTCAGGGGATAGAGGACACTGACTCTGGGCCCTGTTGACCCAAGCAGGCTTCCATTGTGGTGGGTTGTGTCACCCAACAATGTCACTGTTGCTGAGTTCCCATCGCCTCTGTGTTGTGGAGCAGTTAGAGACACACAGCAGTGTCTGTGAGTGGCTCTGTGTGAAGGACCGTTTTCTAGATGAGAGGCACATCTCAACACAGCTCACTGACTCAGGTGAGTGGGACCTGCTCTCTTCTCTTCCTCCTGGCTTGGGGACAGTCACTATGAGGTGGGTGGTTTTGGCCTCTGGGCAGCTACTGAGGGGAATCCCTGAACACTCACCGGGTGTCTGTTCTGTGCTGACGGTCGTCTCATCCATCCTCGCAGCAATTCCATTCTGCATTTTTCTCATCACCCCCGTGACCACCCAGGACAACCCCATCAGGGCCCTGTCACCAGGCCCAGTCCAGCTCCATGATAACCAAGACGCAGGTTCAGAGACAACCGTCCTGCATCGTGCCTGCGTCTGAACCCCCTTGGTGGGTAGTGACCAGCACAACATGGAAGAAGCCAGGGCAGCATGCGGCCAGCTGCTCTGCAGCCCCAGATGGCTCCTGGGCCTTGGGAAGTCATTCTTAAAGGGGAAGCTGGTCACTTTGAGGTCCCTGAAGGGAAGGGTGAACGTGCATCCCAACAGCCCTGGCAGCCAGCAGCATGCCATACATCTTCTCACCCAACCTGTGTGACAGAGGCCCCCTCCTGGGGCACAAGTCCCATACCTAAAGCATCCTGTCCCAGTTGGACCTCATCCTGAGCCCTGGGAGGGGAGGGGCCCCATAGGCCCCCCTGCAGCAGCCAGGATTACCACCCAGGGGACTTGGCCTTCTGTGGCCCTGGCCAGACTTAGAATTTGGCCCAAGAGAAGACAAACTCACTCGGAGCAGCTTGTCAGTACCCGGGACCTGTGTATGCCAGGAGAGGCCAAGCTGGCTCAAAGAGCAACAAGCTACCTCTGCAAGGGTGTGCCAGGAGCAGGTGGACCAGCCACCAACCTCCCCCACTCAAAGGAAACAGGGATGGCCAGGTTCCCACAGCCTGAGTGACCACCACCTGACAGCTGATGGAGTGGAGGCCTGAGGAAAAGCAGATGGCACTGGGGCTCTACCTCCAGGGCAGAATAACTGATTTACCCTGACTGGCAGGGAGTGAGGTTGGTGGCTGGTCCACCGGCTCCTGGCACACCCTTGCAGAGGTGGCTGGTTGCTCTTTGAGTCAGCTTGGCCTTGCCTGGCGTGCACAGACCTCAATGCAACAAATGTGCTGCAAATGGAGCCACATAGAGGAAATGAGCAGCAGGCTCAGGAGCGGGGTGTGCGCTGCCTTTCGGGCTCCATTCCATGCATCAGGGCTTCTACAGCACCGTGGGCTTCTTGGATGCCAAGAGGCAGACCACAGGCCATCTTGAGAAGGACTCTGGTAAGAGCTTACTTGGGTATGTGGATGATGTCCAGGATGTTGGCCTGGTGTCCCTGAGACAGCATTAACAGGTCCATGACTGGGTCCAGGTCCTGCCTGGGCTGATTGGCAAAGAGCTCACTGACAGTGTGGAAGGCATCTATGGTGAAGTGGTGTCTATGTTCAAGTGCAGAAAGGGCCCAATCTGGTGGATGAACCACACGGCCAGCTTCTGGATGCAGGCACAGTGCCACATTTTTTGTCACTTCCTGATGCGCCCCACCAGCACCAAAGAGACAGCCTGGAGACAGGGCAAGAGGAAGGCTGAGAAGGATGAGTTGGTGAGTGCCAGATTCTTCCTGGCCCTGAGCCCACCCCCAGGGCGACACTCAACCTTTAGAGTGGGAGAGCAAGATTGATGGCTTCAAGTGCTTCACCAAGAAGATGGACAACAGGGCACTCACCTCAACTTCACAGCCAATGAGTGGTGACAGGCTTTAAGAAAGAGCATCAGAAGGCTGCCAGTTCTTCAGCCTCAGCCAGGCCTTGGAGCTGGACCAGGCCATTCACTTCAGTATAGATGCCTTCCACACTGTCAGTGAGGTCTTTGCCAATCAGTCCAGGCAGGACCTGGACCCAGCCATGGACCTGTTAGTGCTTTCTCAGGGACACCAGACCAACATCCTGGACATCGTCCACATACACAAGGAAGCTCTTACAAAAGTCACGGAGAGCAGACAACAAGTGGCAGAAGGGAAGATAGAGGTGCAGAGGCTGATGATGTCAGAATCACAGGAACAGCATTTCTTTGGCCACTTTGGCTGAAATTCACCACTTCCATCCAATTCCAGTGAGAGACATGGACTCACAGATGCAGCATTTCTTGCAACAAGAGATACTACTTTTTCAAAAAGTCACCCAGGAATTGATAGTGTTGAATGACTTGATACTCCATTGTGGGCTGTTTCCAGTTCAAGGATACTTTCTACAGCAGAATAATAACACTAGCAAAGAGCTAGTAGAAGGATGGTTTTGTGCTCAACTGAAATCCAGCTGAATACAGAATTGTATAGGAAACAGTTAATATCGTGATAGAATAGAAACAGTAGCAAATGTGAACTAAATCATGCTATGAATGCCTAAACTACCGCTGTAACTTTTGGAAAAATGATAATACCACTTTATTGCTTTTTGAAGTATGAATATTTTAGTGTATATGCTCTAGACCTCAAACCCTATAAAGAGTCTCAAAGAAGTTGGCTGGATAAAGCCTGCTGTGGATGTCTTTATATTCAAAGATTGATGATGCAATTCGAATATGTGTCCACACCGAATCTCATGTTGAGTTATATTTCCTAATGTGGAAGGTGGATCCTGCTATAAGGTGATTGAATTATGAAGGCAAATTTCTCATGAATGGTTCAGCACCATGCCCTTGTACCATCCTCACAATAATGAGTGACTTCTCATGAAATCTGGCCACTGAAAACTATGTCACATCCCTACTCTCTGTTTTCCCCTTGCCATGTGAGACAGCTGATTCTTCCTTTGCCTTCCATGATTATTGAAAGATTTCTGAGGCCTCCTAGAAGCAGAAGCACTGTGCTTAGAACCATGAGACAATTAAATCTCTTTTTCAAAATAAATCTACAGAAAATGGCAAATGAAGACTGGAGCATTGTTATAAAGATACCTGGAAATGTGGAAGCAGCTTTGGAACCAGGTAATGGATGGAGGTTGGAAGAATTTGGAGGGCTCAAAAAAAGACAGATAGAAAACTTTTGGACCATCCTAGAGACTGGTTCAATGGTTGTGACAAAAAATCCTGACAGAAACATGGACAGTGAAGGCCAGGCTGAAGAGGTCTCAGAGAGAAATAAGAAGCTTTCTGGAAAATGTCTTCCTTTTGGATATGGAAAGCTTACACAATGCCTGTACCATCATTGTACCTTAGAAGCAGTGAACTTGCTTTTTGTTTCAGAGACTCATAGGCAAAAGAGACTGTAGCCTTGACCCAGATGACACTTTGGACTTTGTAACTTTGAGTTAATGCTGAAGTGAGTTAAGACTTTGGGAGACTGCTGGCAAGGCATGATTGTATTTTGCAATGTGAGAAGGATATGAGATTCGTGGGGTCAGGGACAGAATAATATGGTTTTTCTCTATGTCCCTACCAAAACTCATGTGGAATTATATTCTGTGATGTCAGAGGCGGGGCCTAGGTGGAAAAAGATTTAGTCATAAAATGGTGCAGGTAGATCCTTCACGAATGATAAAGGACCATCACCTTGATAAAGGACCATCACCTCCTGATAGTGAGTGAGTTCTCATGAGATCTGATTCCTTAACAGGCTGTGGAACCTCTTTCCTCACTCTGTCTTCCTCCTGCTCCTGCTTTAGGAGGCATCTCATTTTCCCTTGGCTTTCTGATATAATGAGGAGGCTTCCTGATTCCTCCCAGAAACAGAAGACACTATGCTTCCTTCACAGCTTGCAGAACCATGAGTCAATTACACCTCTTTTATTTACAATAATACAGAAAATTAGAACTGCAGAGAGGAGCTGTGAAATGTCTTCAAGGCCTTTTTTCCTTTGTCTTGGCTATTAGCACAGGGCTTCTTTATAAGCAAATTTCTGAAATCTTGAATTTTTCCCCTTAAATGGGATTTTTGTTATTGCTACATAGCCAACCTGCTATATAGATACCTGAAAAAGTAGAAGCAGGCTCAGTAGTGGGTAGCAAACAAATATTGGAAGGGTTTGGAGGGATAAGAGTATGAGATGGAGTGGGAGGGAGTGATTTAATCATGGGTGGGGGTGGATGTGGAAGGGAAAAAGGGGTGGGTACGGTGGGAGGGAGTAGACTGGCTGTAGGGTGGTGGGAGGGTGGTGGGTAGTAGGAAGGGGGAGTAGCCTGCTGCAGAGGCAGAGCCTCATGGAAAACCCCTACTAGGGCAGTGCACCTGTGGCTTTGCAGGTTTGAGACCCATGGCTGCTCTCATGGACTGGACTAGTGTTGAGTGCCTGTAGCTTTTCCACACGGAGGGTGCAAGCTGTTGGTGGGTCTATGAATCTGGGGTCTGGAGGGTGGTAGTCCCCTGTGTGGGGGCTCCAAGTCCATTTTTTCCTAATGCACTGCCCTAGTAGAGGTATCCCAAGAACTCTGCGTCTGCAGCAGGCTTCTGCCTGGAAACATTGGGAGGTGGGGGTGGGAGGCAGATCCTTCACCAATGGTTAGGCAGCATCTTCTTGATGCTGTCCTCATGATAGTGTGTTCTCATGAGATCTGGTTATATAACAGGGTGTGGCACCTCTTTCCTCTCTCAGTCTTGCTTCTACTCCTGCCATATGAAACATCTCCTTGCCCCTTGGCCTTCTGGTATGATTGGGAGGCTTCCTGATCCTCCCAGAAGCAGAAGCCACTATGCTTCCTTTACAGCCTGCTGAACCATGAGCCAATTAAACCTCTTTTCTTTTGATCATACAGAAAATTAGTGCTGTGAAATGGAGCCACGAAATGCCTTCAAGGCCCTTTCCCCTTTGTCTTGGCAACCAGCACTCAGCTTCTTTTCATGGAAATATCTGAAGCCTTTGTGAATTTTCCCCCTGAAAATGGACTTTTCTCTTTTACCACATTGCCAGGCTGTGATAAAGATAGCTGACAATGTAGAACCAGGTTCAGAAGTGGGTAAAAGACAGAGGTAGGAAGAGTTGGGAAAGCTTAGAAGACAACAAGATGAGGAAAATATTGGACCACTATAGAGAATTGTTAAATACTTGTGATCAGAAGGCTGAGAAAAGGGTAAACACTGAAGTCCAGACTTAAAAGTTCTCAGATGAAAATGAGGAATTTCCTATGAACAGGGGCCAAGATTACATTTGATTGGCCTTAGCAAAGGACGTGGCAGCACAGGGACCCTGCCCTGGAGATCTGTGAAACTATGAACTTGGGGGTGATGATTTAGGAAGTATCTGGTGAAATGAACATCTAGGCAGCATAGCACAAGAGGTGTCCTGTCTGCATTGAACAGCCTGTGTTCTTATGTGTGACCTAAGAAATAACTTCAAGTTGGAACTTCAAGTGGAGATCTAAAATTTGGAAAATTTGGAGCCTGGCCAAGTGGTCAAAAAGAAAAGCCGATTTTGAGGGGGAAAATTCAAGAAGGCTTAGGTTATTTGCATAAAAAGGAACACAGTGCAAACAGCCAAGACAGTGGGAAACTGGCCTTGAAGGTATTTTAGAGACCTCTGCAGCAGCCCTTGCTGTCACAGACCGTGGGGCCTAGGAGAGAAGAATGGTTTCCTGGGCCAGTCCCATGGCCCTGCTGCTGTGCTTAACCACAGGGCACTGCTGCCTGCATCCCTGCAGCTCCAGCACCAGCCATGGCTGAAAGATGCACAGGTACAGCTTGGGTCACTGCTTCAGAGGTGGCGCAAAGCCTTGATTGTTTCCACATAGTGTTAAGCCAGTAGGTGCACAGAGAAAGAGACTAGAGGCTTGGGAGCTCCTGTCTAGACTCCAGAAGATGTACAGAAAATCCTGGATGTCCAGGAAGAAGCTTTTCCAAGAGGCAGAACCTCATGGGGAACCTCTACTAGGGGAGCAAAGAAGAGACTTATAGGGTTGAAGCCCCAACAGAAGGATGCATCAATCTCCAAACCCCAGATTCATAGACCTACAAACAGCTTGCACCCTCAGTGTGGAAAAGCTATGGGCACTCAACAACAGCCCTGTCCATGAGAGGCAGCCGCGGAGGCTGAACGCTGCCAAGCCACAGGTCAGATCTGCCCAAGGCCTTGGGAGCTCAGCTCTCACAGCCCTGTGCCATGGATGTGGGACAAGGATTCAAAAACGATGATTTTGGAGCTGTAGGATTGAGTGACCGGCCTGCTGGGTTTTGGACACTTATGTATCCTATGAGTCCCATCTGTGTTTTGTGCTTCTTTCTAGCAATTTTTTTTCTGTTGCCTGGGAATGCTTACCCATTGCCTGTACAATCATTTACCTTGGAAGTAGTAAACTTGCTTTATAATTCAGTGGCTCATGGGCAGAAGGGAGTGTAGACTTGTCTCAGATAATACGCTGGGCTTTGGGCATTTGAGTAAATGCTGGAATGAGTTAAGATTTGAGAGACTCTAGGGAAGGCATCATTGCATTTTGCAATGTGAGAAAGACATGAACTTTAGAGGACCAGGGACAGAATAATATGTTTTGGCTCTCTGTCTCTACCAAAGTTCAAGCGGAAGGTTAATGGGAAATGTTAAAGGTGGGGGCTGGTAGGTGATTTAAACATGATGGAGAGTGGAGGTTGGATGGTTGAGGGGGTTGGGAGGGTTGGGGTGGAGTGGGTGGTGGGGAGGGTTGGAGGGGATTGTGGTGGGGTTGGGGGTGTAAGGCAGGGGTGGGGGTGCATCCTTCACAAATGGTTGAACACCATCTCCTTAATGCCGTCCTTCTGATAGTGAGTTCTCTTCATGATTTTGGAGCTGTGAGATTGAATGAACACTGACCTGCGGGATTTTGGATGTCCGTTGGGCCTGTGGTCCCATTTGTGTTATTGTTCTTGGAAATTTCTTCCCTTTGGATTGAGAAAGCTTACCCAATATCTGTACCATCATTGTACCTTGAAAGAAACGAACACCCTTTTAACTTCAGGGACTCATAGGCAGAAGAGACTGTAGCCTTGTCTCAGATGAGACTTTGAACTTTTTACACTTGAGTTAATGCAGGAATGAGTTAGGGCTTTTGGAAACTTTGAAAAGGCACGATTATATTTTATTCTGTGAGAAGGATATGAGATTTGGGGGGGTCAAGGTCAGCATAATATGATTTGGCTATGTGCCCCTGGAAAAACTCATGTGGAATTGTAATCCCAAATGTTGGAAGTGAGGCCTGGTGTGAGATTATTTAATCATGGATGGGAGGGGTATGGGTGGAAGAAAAAAGGGGTGAGTAGGGTGGGGAAGAGTAGGCTGGCTGTAGGGTGGTGGGAGGGTGGTGGGTAGTAGGAAGGGGGAGTAGCCTGCTGCAGAGGCAGCGGTTCATGGAAAACCTCTACCAGGGCAGTGGGCCTGTGGCTTGGCAGGCTTTAGCCCCCATGGCTACTCTCATGGGCTTGGCTGGTATTGAGTGCCTATCACTTTTCCATACTGAGGGTGTGAACTGTTGGTAGGTGTACGAATCTGGGGTGTAGAGGATGGTGGCCTCCTGCATAGTCACTCAAAGCCCTTATTTTCCTTCTGCACTGCCATAGTACAGGATTTCCAAGAGCCTCTGCCTCTGCAGCAGGTTTCTGTCTGGAACGGTAGGGGGTGGAGCTGTGTTGGGGTGCGGATCCTTCACCAATGGTTAAGCACCATCTTCTTGATGCTGACCTAGTGATAGTGAGTTCTCATGAGATCTGGTTATAGGACGGTGTGGCACGTCTTTCCTCTCTCAGCCTTGCTCCTACTCCTGCTGTATGAAACATTTCATTGCTGTTTTCCTACTGGTATGATTGGGAGGCTTCCTGAGTCCTCCCAGAAGCAGAAGCCACTATGCTTTCTTTACAGCCTGCAGAACCATGAGCCAATTAAACCCCTTTTCATTATGATCATACAGAAAATAAAGTACTGCGAAGTGGAGCTATGAAATATCTTCAATGACATTTCCCCATCGTCTTGGCTATTAGCACTGGACTTCTTTTTAATGCAAATATCTGAAGGCTTCTTGAAGTTTCCCCCTGAAAATGGACTTCTTTTTCTTCTGCATTGCCAGGCTGCAACAAAGATAGCTGAAAATGTAAAGCAGGTTCAGAAGTGGGTAACAGCCAGAGGTTGGAGAGTTTGGAGATCTTGAAAGAAGACAGGGAGAAGAAGGAAAATTTGGACCACTGTAGGCACTTGTTAAATAGTTGTGATTAAAAGGCTGGCAGAAGGATGGACAGTGAAGGCCAGGCTTACAAGGTGTCAGATGAAAATGAGGAACTTACTGGGAACAGGAGCCAAGGTTACCTTTTGTTTTGCTGTAGCAAAGAACACGGCTGAAGGGCGAACTTGCCCTCAAGATCTGTGAAACTTTGAACTCGAGGGTGATGATTTAGTGCATATCTGGTGGAATGTACTTCTAGGCAGCATAGCACAAGGGGTGGGGGGAGGGCCTGTCTGCATCAAACAGCCTGTGCTCTCATGTGTGACCGAGTTTATGTGTGACCGAGGTTATGTGTGACCGAGGAAATGACCTCAAGTTGGAACTTATATTTAAATGACAAGCAGAGCTCAAAAGTTTGGAACATCTGCAGCCTGGCCAAGTGGTCAAAAAGAAAAGCTGATTTTCTGGGGGAAAATTCATGAAGGCGCCAGAAACTTGCAGAAAATGGAGGCCAGTGCTAATAGCCAAGACAATGGGGGAAAAAAGCCTTGGAGGCATTTCAGAGATGTTTGCAGTAGCCCTTGCTGTCACAGGCCCTGGGGCCTAGGAGAGAAGAATGGTTTCCTGGGCCAGCCCCATGATCCTGCTGCTGTGTGCAGCCTCAGGACACTGCTGCCTGCATCCCTGCAGCCCAAGCTCCTGCTCCGACTTTGGCTGAAAGATGCACGGGTACAGATTGCATCACTGCTTCAGAGGGTACAGGCTATAAGGCTCCATGGCTTCCACATAGTGTTAAGCCCGCGGGTGCACAGAGCACTAGCCCAGAGGCTTCGGAGCCCTCATGTAGATTTCGGAAGATGTATGAAAATGCCTGGGTGTCCAGACAGAAGGCTGCCAAAAAAGCAGAACCTCCTGGGAAACCTGTACTAGGGCAGTGCAGAAGGAAAATATGGGCTTGGAGTCCCCACACTGGAGGCCAGCATCATGCAGACCCCAGATTCATAGACCCACCAAGAACTTTGTACCCTCTGTGGGTAAAAACTACAGGCAGTCAACACCAGCACAGCCCATGAGGGCAGCTGTGGGGACTGAACACTGCAAAGCCACAGGTAGAGAGCTGCCCAAGGCCTTGGGAACCCAGCCCTCATACCCTTGTGCCCTGGAGGTGGGACAAGGATTAAAAAAGGATGACTTTGGAGCTGTAGGTTTGAATAAGTGGCCTGCTGGGTTTTAGATTTTCATGGGACCTGTAAGTCCCGTTTGTGTTTTGTTCTTCTCTGGCAAAAATCTTCCTTTTGGTTGGGAATTCTTACTCAATGTCTGGACAATCATACCTTGGAAGTAGTTAACTTGCTTTGTATTTCAGAGGCTCAGGAGCAGAAGGGACCACATCTTTGTCTCAGATGGGACTTTGGGCTTCAGACATTTAAATAAATGCTGGAATGAGTTAAGGCCTTGTGGGTCTTAGCCAAGACGATGGGGAAAAGTCATTGAAGGCATTTCATAGCTTCACTTCACAGTACTAACTTTCTATATAATCATAACAAAAAGGGGTTTGATTGGCTCATGGTTCTGCAGGCTGTAAAAAAAAAAGCATAGTGGCTTGGGGAATGGTAAGTAAGGCATCATTGTATTTTCAAAGTGAGAAGGACATGAGATTTGTGGGGCAGGGACAGAATAATAAGATTTGGCTGTGTGTCCCTATGGAAACTCATGTGGAGTTGTAATCAGAAATGTTAAAAGTGGGGCCAGGTAGAAGGTGATTTAATCGTGGAGGGCACTGGGTGTTGGAAGGTGGAGATTGGGGAGTATGGGTGGATTATGGTGGGGGTGAGTGGTGAAAAGTGGGGGTGGGTGGAGGATCCCTCACAAATAGTTAAACACCATCTCCTTAATCCTTTCCTCATGATGGTGAGTTCTCGTGATGGTTTTGGAGCCGTGAGATTGAATGGATACTGGCCTCCTGGGTTTTGGACTTGCATTGGCCCTGTGATCCCATTTGTGTTATTTTCCTGGCAAACCTCTCCCCTTTGGATTGAGAAAACTTACCAAATGCCTGTATCATCATTGTACCTTGAAATAAAAGGACTCCCTTTTAAATTCAGGAGCTTATAGGCAAAAGGGACTTTAGCCTTTTCTCAGGTGAGATGTTGAACTTTTTACATTTGAGTTAATGCTGAAATGACTTAAGACTTTCGACATCTTTTGAAAAGGCCTGATTGTATTTTACTCTGTGAGAAGGATATGATATTCGGGGGATCATGGTCAGAATAATAAGGTATAGCTGTGTGTCCCTACCTAAACTCACATGTAATTGTAATCCCGAATGTTGCAGGTGGGGCCTGGTGGGAGGTGATTTATTCATGGTTGGGACAGGGGTGGGGTTGGAAGTAAAAACAGGTGGGTAAGGTTGGGAGGGGTGAGCTGGCTGTAGGGTGGTGTGTAGCAGGAGGGGAGTAGCCTGCCGCAGAGGCAGAGGCTCGTGGAAAAACTCTACTAAGGCAGTGCACCTGTGGCTTTGCAGGGTTTAGCACCTGTAGCTGCTCTCGTGGGCTGGGCTGATGTTGAGTGCCTGTAGCTTTTCCATACTGGGGGTGTGAGCTGTTGGTGGGTCTATGACTCTTGGGTCTGGAAGATGGTGTCATGGGGGCTCCAAGCCCATATATTCCTTCTGCACTGCCCTAGTAGAGGTTTTCCAAGAGGATCTGCCTCTGCCTCAGGCTTCTGCTTGGAAACAGTGGGTGGTGGATATGGGATAGTGGGCGGATCCTTCACCAACAGTGAAGCACCATCTTCTTGATGCTGATCTCCTGATACTGACCTCTCATGAGATCTAGTTGTATAACAGGATGTCGCACCTCTTTCCTCTCTCTGTCTTGCTTCTACTCCTGCCATATGAAACATTTCATTGCTGCTTGGCCTTCTGGTATAATTGGGAGGCTTCCTGAGTCCTCCTACAAGCAGAAACCACTGTGCTTTCTTTACAGCCTGAAGAACTGTGAGTCAATTAGACCTATTTTCTTTATGTAGATACAGAAAATTAATGTTGTGAAGGGAAGCTATGAAATGACTTCTAGGCCTTTCCCCCAATCTCTTGGCTATTAGCACTGAGCTTTTCTCAATGCAGATATTGGAGGCCTTCTTGATGTTTCCCCCTGATAATGGACTTTTCTTTTACCACATTGCCAGGCTGCAACAGAGATAGCTGACAGTGTAGAAGCAGGTTCCAAATTGGGTAATGGCCAGACGTTCGAGAGTTTGGAGAGCTTGGAAGAAGACAGGAAGATGAGGGAAAGTATGGACCATTGCAGAGACTTGTTAAATAGTTGTGATTAAAAGGCTGACAGAAGGATGGACAGTGAAGGCCAGGTTTGTAAGGTCTCAGATGAAAATGAGGAACTTACTGGGAACAGGAGCCAAGGTTTTTTTCTTTTGCCTTAGCAAAGTAATTGGCTACACAGTGACCCTTCCCGGGAGATCTGTGAAACTGAACTTGAGGGTGATGATTTAGGATGTATCTGGTGGAATGAACTTCTAAGCAGCAAAGCTCAAGAGTTGTCCTGCCTACATCGAACAGCCTGTGCACCTATGTGTGATCAAAGAAATGACCATAAGTTGGAACTTATATTTAAATGACAAGCAGAGCTTCAACAATGGGGAAATTTGTAATCTGGTCCAAAAGAAAAGCTGATTTTCAGGGGGAAAATCAAGAAGGCCTCGGATATTTGCATAAAAAGGATCCCAGTGCCAATAATTCAAGACAATGGGAAAAAGGCCTTGAAGGCATTTCAGAGACCTTCTTGGCCGACCTTGCTGTCACGGGCCCTGGGGCTTAGGAGAAAAGAATAGTTTCCTGGCCCAACCCCATGGCTCCACTGCTGTGTGCAGCCTCAGGACACTGCTGCCTGCATCCCTGCAGCTCCATCTCCAGCTCCAGCCATGGATGAAAGATGCACAGGTACAGCTTGTGTCACTGCTTCAGAGGATGCAAGCTCCAAGCCTTGGTGGCTTCCACATAGTGTTAAGGCAGCAGGTGCATAAAGCACAGGACTACAAGCTTCAGATCCTTCATCTAGAATCCAGAGGATATATTGGAAAGCTTGAGTGTCAAGCCAGAAGCTTTTCCAAGAGGCAGAGCCTCATGGTAAACCTCTTCTGGGGCAGTACAGAAGGAGAGTATAGGGTTGGAGTCCCCACACAGGGAGGCACCATTTTGCAGACCCCAGTTTCATAGACCCACCAACTGCTTGCACCCTTAGTGTTTAAAAGTTACAGGCACTCAACACCAGCCTAGCCAATGAGGGCAGCTGTGGGGGAAAGATTCTGCAATGCCACAGATGCAGAGCTGCCCAAGGCCTTGGGATCCCAGCTGTCACAGCACCCTGTGCTCTGGATGTGGACATAGATTCCAAAAAGATGATTTGGAGCTGTATGATGGAATGACTGGCCTGCCGGGTTTTTGACTTGCAGGGAGTTTGTAAGTCCCATCTGTGTTTTGTGCTTCTTTCTGGCAAATTTCTTCCTTTTGGCTGGGAATGCTTACCCAATGCCTGTACAATCATTGCACCTTGGAAGTGGTTATCTTGCTTTGTATTTCAGAGGCTCGGGGCAAAAGATATGGCAGCCTTCTCTCAGAAGAGACTTTGGGCTTTGGATATTTGAGTAAATGCTGGGATGAGTTAAGACTTGGGGGACTCTAGGGAAGGCATCATTGCATTTTGCAATGTGAGAAAGACATGAATTTTGGGGGACCAGGGACAGAATAATATGTTTTGGCTCTGTGTCTCTACCAAAACTCATGTGGAATTTTAATGGGAAATGTTAAAGGTGGGGGCTGGTGGAAGGTGATTTAATCATGGTGGAGGGTGGAGGTTGGACGGTTGGGAGGGTGGGGAGGGTTGGGGGAATTGGGGGGTGGGGAGGGTTGGGGGGATTGTGGTGGGGTTGGGGGTGAAAGGCAGGGGTGAGGGTGGATCCTTCACAAATGGACATTTGAGTAAATGCTGGAATGAGTTCAGACATTGGGGGACTGTAGAGAATGCATCATTGTATTTTGCAGTATGAGAAAGACATGAGATTGGGGGGCCAAAGGGAGAATAATATGATTTGGCTCTGTGTCCCTACCAAAACTCATGTGGAATTGTAATGGGGAATGTTAAATGTGGGGCTTGGTAGAAGGTGATTTAATCATGGTAGAGAATGGGGATTGGAAGGGGGATGTGGGAGAATGGGGGTGCATGGTATGGGTGGGGGTGAAACGTGGGGATGGGTGGCAGATCCTTCACAAATGGTCAAATACTATCTCCTTAATGCAGTCTGTGTGATAGTGAGTTCTCATGGTAAATGAATGCTGTCCTGCTGGGTTTTGGACTCGGATTGGGCCTGTGTCCCATTTGTGTTATTTTTCTGGGAAAATCTTCCCTTTGGATTGAGAAAGCTTACCCAGTGCCTGTGCCATCATTGTAACTTGAAAGAAAAGAATTGTCTTTTACATTCAGGGACTCATAGGCAGAAGGGATTGCAGCCTTCTCTTGGTTGAGACTTGAACTTACTACATTTGAGTTACTGCTGGAGTGAGTTAAGACTTTTCAAAACTTTTGAAAAGGCATGTTTGTATTTTTCTATGTGAGAAGGACATGAGATGTGGGGGTGTCAGGGTCAGAATAATATGGTTTGGCTGTGTTTCCCTACAAAAACTCATGGGGACTTGTATTCCTGACTGTTGTAGGTAGGGTCTGGTGGGAGGTGTTTTAACCAAAAACGGGAGAGTGGTAGGGGTGGAAAAAAAGCAAGTGGGTAGGGTGGGGAAGAATAGGCTGGCAGTAGGGTGGTGAGAGGGTGGTGGGCAGTAGAAAGGGGGCGTAGCCTGCTGCAGAGGCAGAGGCTCATGGAAAACCTCTATACCAGGGCAGTGCACCTGTGGCTTTGAAGGCTTTAGCCCCATGGTTGCTCTCATGGGCTGGGCTGGTGTTGAGTGCCTGTAGCTTTTCCATACTGAGAGTGCAAGCTGCTGATGCGTCTATGAATCTGGGGTCTGGAGGTTGGTAACCTCCTGTGTGGGTCCTCCAAGCCCATATATTTTTTCTGCACTGCCCTAGTAGAGGTTTTCCTAGTGGCTCTGCCTCTGCCTCAGGCTTCTGCCTGGAAACAGTGGGGGGTGGGGGTGGCAGGGGGCAGATCTTTCACCAGTGGTTAAGCAACATCTTCTTGATGCTGACCTTGTGATAGTGAGTTCTCAGGAAATCTGGTTGTATAACAGGTTTATACACACATGTGGCACCTTTTTCCTCTCTCTGTCTTGTTTCTACTTCTGCCATATAAAACTTCCCATTGCTGCTTGGTCTTCTGGTATGATTGGAAGGCTTCCTGAGTCCTCCCAGAGGCAGCAGCCTCTATGACTTATTTAAGGCTTGCAGAACCATGAGCCAGTTCAACCTCTTTTCTTTCTGATTATACAGAAAATTAGTGCTGTGAAGTGGAGCTATGAAATGCCTTCAAGACCTTTTCCTTATTGTCTTGGCAATCAGCACTCAGCTTCTTTTCAGGCAAATGTCTGAAGCCTGCATTAATTTTTCTCCTGAAATGGACTTTTCTTCTTTTACCACATTGCCAGGCTGTGACACATGTAGCTGAAAATGTAGAAGCAGGTTGAGAAGTGTGTAATGGCCAGAGGTTGGAGAGTTTGGAGGTCTTGGAAGAAGACAGGAAGATGAGGAAAAGTTTGGATCAGTGTAGAGACTTGTCAAATAGTTGTAATTAAAAAGGTGGCAGAAGGATGGACAGTGATCACCAGGCTTAGAAGGTCTTACATGAAAATGAGGAATTTGCTGGGAACAGGAGGCAAGGTCACTTTTGTTTTTTTCTTAGCAAAGAACGTTGCTGCACGATGCCCCTAACCTGGAGACCTGTGAAATTTTGAACATCAGGGTGATAATTTAGAGTGTATCTGGTGGAAGGAAATTTTAGGCAGCAAAGCTTAAGAGGTGTCCTGTCTGTGTTGAACAGCCTGTAGTCCTACATGTGACCAAAGAAATGACCTCATGGTGAAACATATTTAAAAGTTTGGAAAACTTGCAGCCTGGCCAAGTGGTCAAAAAGAAAAGCTGATTGTCAGTGAGAAAGTTCAAGAAGTCTTCAGAAATTTGCATAAAATGGAGTTCAGTGCTATTAGCCAATACAGTGTTAAAAAGGCCTTGAAGGCATTTCAGAGACTTTTGCAGCAGCCCTTGCTATCACAGGCCCTGAGGCCTGGGAGAAAAGAATGGTTTCCTTCTCCAGCACCGTGGCCCAGCTGCTGTGTCCATCCTCAGGACACTGCTGGCTGCATTCCTGAAGCTCCAGCTTCAGCCATGGCTGAAAGATGCACAGGTACAGCTTGTGTCACTGCTTCAGAGGGCACAAGCTGCAAGCTTTGGTGGCTTCCACATGGTGTTAAGCCAGCAGGTGCGCAGAGCACAAAACTGGAAGCTGGGGATCCTTTGTCTAGACTCCAGAGTACATATGGAAAAACCTGGGTGTCCAGGTCAGAATTTTCCAAGAGGCAGAGCCTCCTTTACTAGGGCAGTACAGAAGGAACATATAGGGTTGGAACCCCCATACAGGGAGGCACCATTCCACAAGGGCCAGATTCATAGACTTTCTAACAGCTTGCACCCTCATTGTGGAAAAGCTGCAGGTACTCAACACCAGCCCAGCCCATGAGAGCCACTGTGGAGGTTAGACCTTGCAAAGCCACAGGTGCAGAGCTGCCCAAGGCCTTGGGAGCCCAGGCCTCATACCCTTGTGCTCTGGATGTGGGATCTGGATTAAAAAAAAATGATTTGGAGCTGTAAGATTCAATTACCGTCCTGCTGGGTTTTTGACTTGCACAGTGTCTGTAAGTCTCAACAGTGTTTTGTGATTCTTTCTGGCAAATTTTTTCCTTTCGGCTGGGAATATTTACCCAATGCCTGTAAAATCATTGTACCTTGGAAAAAGTTAACTTGCTTTGTATTTCAGAGGCTCAGGGGCAGAAGGGACTGCAGCCTTGTCTCAGAAGAGACTTTGGGCTTTGGACATTTCAGTAAATGCTGGAATGAGTGAAGACATTGGGAAACTGTAGAGAAGGCATCATTGTATTTTGCAGTGTGAGAAGAACATGAGATATGGGGGCCAGGGTCAGAATAACATGATTTGGCTCTGCATCCCTACCAAAATCATGTGGGATTATAATGGGGAATGTTAAAAATGGGGCCTGGGGGGAGGTGATTTAATCATGGAGAAGCATGGGGTTTGGAGGTAAGGGAGTGGGGAGAATAGGGGAGATTATTTTGTGGGTGGGAGTGAAAGATGAGGGTGGGGGCAGATGTTTCACAAATGGATAAACACGCTCTCCTTAATGCTGTTCACATGATAGTGAGTTCTCTTGATGATTTTGGAGCTGAGAGATTGAGTGAATACTGCCCTGCTGGGTTTTGGACTTGCATTGGGCCTGTGGGCCCATTTGTGTTATTTTTCTGGGAAATTTCTTCCCTTTGGACTGAGAAAGCTTACACAATGTCTCTACCATCATTGTACCTTGAAAGAAAAGAACTCCGTTTTAAATTCAGGGACTCATAGACAGAAGGGACTGTGTGGCGTTGTCTCATATGAGACTTAATTTTTTACATTTGGAATGAGTTAAGACTTTTGCAAACTTTTGAGAAGTCATGGTGGTATTTTGCTCTGTGTTAAGGACATGAGATTCTGGAATATCAGGGTCAGAATAATATGGTTTGGCTGTGTGTCCCTATAAAAACTGAGGTGGAATTGTAATTCCAAATGTTGAAGGTAGCGCCTGGGGGAGATGATTTAATCATGGATTGGAGGTGGTTGGGGTGGAAGGAAAAGGGTTGTAACCGAGTGAGTTGTAGAGAAATGCCACACCATGAGACGACTTCAGGAGACCTTTATTGCCGGCAACTGAGAGACGGCTAGTGCTCAAAATTCTCTTGGCCCGGAAGAAGGGGCTAGATTTTCTTTTATACTTTGGTTTAGAAGGGGGACAGGGAGCCTAGCTGAAGGAATCTCACAGCAGCAAAACTGGCAAAAAAGTTAAAAAGATAAATGGCTACAGGAAAACAAACAGTTCCAGGTGCAGGGGCTTTAAATCCATCCAAATGTGATAGATGTGGGGGCTTTGGGTGCTATCAACTGGACACAAATGTGGGGGTTTTGGGTACTATCAACCGGGCGAAGGGCGGGAACTGTGGATGTAGCTTGCCAGAGTATCTTATCAGGA
Source organism: Homo sapiens (assembly GCF_000001405.40). NCBI lineage: Eukaryota > Metazoa > Chordata > Mammalia > Primates > Hominidae > Homo > Homo sapiens. The sequence continues at coordinate 93,744 of NT_187594.1, read as the reverse complement.
ATTGCGTTCTTTGATGTGCTGGGAGTCAGCTTGCACAAGTTAAGTCCTTGAGGAAGGGGGGTGGGTAAGGGGCTGCAAGTGAAGGAGCCAAGATGGAGTCTGTCTGGCTCTGTCAGCTAAGGGAGAGTCGACCAGGTTAATACAAGGTAGGGTATCACAAAAGGGTTGGTTAGGGTGGGGAGGAGTAGGTTGGCAGTAGAATGGTGGGAGGGTGAGGGGTAGTAGGAAGGGGGAGTAGCCTGCTGCAGAGGCAAAGCCTCATGGAAAACTTCTACTAGGACACAGCACCTGTGGGTTTGCAGGGTTTAGCCCCTGCAGCTGCTCTCACGGACTGGGCTGTTGTTGAGTGTCTGTAGCTTTTCCACAGAGGGTGTGAGCTGTTGGTGGGTCTATGAATCTGGGGTCTGGAGGTTGGTGGCCATCTGCATGGGGGCTTCAAGCCCATATTTTCCTTCCACACTTCCCTGGTAGAGGTTTTCCAAGAGGCTCTGCCTGTGCAGCAGGCTTCTGTTTAGAAATAGTGGGAGTTGGGGGTGGGTGGTTGTTCCTTCATCAATGTTTAGGCACCATCTTCATGATGCTGACATTGTGATAGTGAGTTCTCATGAGATCTGGTTGTATAATAGGGTGTGGCACTCTCTCCTGTGTCTGTCTTGTGCCTACTCCTGCCACATGAATCATCTCATCGCCCCTGGACATTCTGGTATGATTGGAAGGCTTCCTGAGTCCTCCCAGATTCAGAAGCCATTATGTTTCCTTATGGCCTGCAGAATCATGAGCCAATTAAACCTCTTTTCTTTATGATCATAGAGAAAATTAGTAGTGCAAAGTGGAACTATTAAATGTCATTGTCTTGGCAATCAGCACTCAGCTTCTTTTCATTCAAGTATGTGAAGGCTTCATGAATTTTCCCCCTTAAAATGGACTTGTTTTCCTTTACCACATTGCCAGGCTGTGCAAAGATAGTGATAATGTAGAAGCAGGTTCAGAAGGGAGTAGCGGACAGAGGTCGGGAGAGTTTGGAGGGCTTCAGAGACAAGAAGATGAAAGAAAGTTTGGATCTTTGTAAAGAATTGTTAAACACTTGTGATCAGAAGGCTCACAGGAAAATGGTCAGTGAAAGCCCGACTTAGAAGGTCTCAGATGAAAATGAAGCACTTACTGGGAACAGAAGTCAAAGTTACTTTTGTTTCCTTAGCAAAGAACGTGGCTGCACGGTGACCTTGCCCTGGAGATCTGTGAAACTTTGAAGTTGAGGGTGATGATTTACTGAGTATCTGGTGGAATGAACTGGGCAGCAAAGCTCATGAGGTGTCCTGTCTGCATCAAACAGCCTGTGCTCTTATGTGTGATGGAGGAAATGACCTCTGGATGAGACTTACATTAAATGAGTCCCAACTCTTACATTACGTGGGAAACAGAACTCAAAAGTTTGGAAAATTTGCAGCCTGGCCATGTGGTCAAAAAGAAAAGCTGATTTTCAGGGGGAAAATTGAGGAAGGCTTCAGAAACTTGCCTGAAAAGGAGCCCAGTGTTCATAGACAAGACAATAGGGAAAAGGCCTTGAGGGCATTTCAGAGACCTTTGCAGCAGCCCTTGCTGTTACAGGCCCTGGGGCCTAGGAGAGAAGAATGGTTTCCTGGTGGAGTTCCATGACCCCCTTCTGTGTGCAGCCTCAGGACACTGCTGCCTGCATCCCTGCAGCTCCAGCTCCAGCTCCAGCTCCAGCCATGACTGAAAGATGCACAGGTACAGCTTGGGTCACTGCTACAGAGGGTGCCGGCTAGAAGCCTTGGTAAGTTCCTCATAGTGTTAAGCCACTGGTGGACGGAGCATGAGACTAGAGGCTTGGGAACCTCTCCATAGATTTTGGAAGATGTATGGAAATGCCTGGGTGTCCAGGCAAAAGCATCCCAAGAAGGCAGAGCATTATATGAAACTTCTACTAGAGCAGTGCAGAACGAAAACATGGGGTTGGAGCCTCCACACTGGAGGCCACCATCATGCAGACCACAGATTCATAGACACCCAACAACTTGTATCCTTCGTGGGGAAAAGTCACAGGCACTCAACACCAGCCAAGCCCATGAGGGCAGCCATGGGCATAAACCCTGCAAAGACACAGGTGCCAAGCTGCCCAAGGCCTTGGGGGCACAGCCCTCACACCCCTGTGCCCTGGATGTGGGACAGGGTTTCAAAAAGGGTGATTTTGGAGCTGTAGGATTGAATGACTGGCCTTCTGGGTTTGGAGTTTCATGCGGCCAGTAAGTCCTGTCTGTGTTTTGTTTTTTCCTGGCAAAATTCTTCCTTTTGGCTGGGAATGCTTACCCAATGCCTGTACAAGCATTGTACCTTGGAAGTAGTTAACTTGCTTTATATTTCAGAGGCTCATGGGCCTAAGCAACTGTAGCCTTATGCCAGATGAGACTTTAAGCTTTGAACATGTGTATAAATGCTGTAATGTTATAAGATTTTAGGAGACTGTAGGGAAGGCATCATTGTATTTTGCAACGTGAGAAGGACATGAGATTTTGGGAGCCAGGGACAGAATAATAAAATTCAGCTCTGTGTCTCTACCAAAACTCATGTGGAATTGTCATTGGAATGTTAAAGGTGGGGCCTGGTGGAAGGTGATTTAATCACGGTGGAGAGTGGGTGTTGGAAGATGGGGCGTAGGGAGAATCGGGGATTTATGGTGCGGGTGAGGAGTGAAAATTGGAGTTGGGGGGCGGATCCTTCCCAAATGATTAAACAATCTCCTTATTGCTGTCCTTGTGATAGTTCTCTTCATGACTTTGGAGCTGTAAGATTGAATGGATACTGGCCTTCTGGGTTTTGGACTTGTATTAGGCCTGTGGTCCCATTTCTGTTTTCTTCCTGGGAAATTTCTTCCCTTTGGATTGAAAAAGCTTACCCAAAGCCAGTACCATTATTGTACCTTGAAAGAAAAGAACATCCTTTTAAATTCAGGGACTCATAGGCAAAACGTACTGTACACTTCTCCCAGATGAGATGTTGATTTTCTTACATTTGAGTTAATGTTGGAATGATTTAAGACTTCTGGAAACTTTTGAAAAGGCATGAATATATTTTGCTCTGTGAGAAGGATATGAGACTGTGGGGATCAGGGTCAGAATAATATGATTTGGCTGTGTTTCTTTACCAAAACTCATGTGAATTGTAATCCTTAATGTTGGAGGTGGGGCCTGGCTGGAGGTGATTTAATCATGGATGGGAGGGGGGCGGGTGTGGAAGGAAAAGGGGTGGGTAGGGTGAGGAGTAGGTTGTTAGTAGGGTGGTGAGAGGGTGGTGGGTAGCAGGAAGGGGGAGTAGCCTGCTGCAGAGGCAGAGGCTCATGGAAAGTCTGTACTAGGGCAGTGCACCTGTGGCTTTGCAGGGTGTAGCCCCCATGGCTGCTCTCATGGGCTGGGCTGGTGTGGAGTGCCTGTAGCTTTTCCACGCAGAGAGTGCAAGCTGTTGGTGGGTCTATGAATCTGCAGTCTGCAGGATGGTGGCCTCCTGTGTGGGGTCTCCAAGCCCATATTTTCCTTCTGCACTGCACTGGTAGAGGTTCTCTAAGAGGTTCTGCCTCTGCAGGAGGCTTCTGCCTGGAAACAGTAGGTGGTGGTGTGGGTGGATCCTTCACCATTGGTTAATCTTCCTGATGCTGATCTCCTGATAGTGAGTTCTCATGAGATCTGGTTGTATTACCTGGTGTGGCACCTCTTCCCTCTCTGTGTCTTCTTCCTACTCCTGCCATATGGAACACCTCATTGTCACTCGGCCTTTTGGTATGATTGGGAGGCTCCCTGAGTCCTCCCAGAAGCAGAAACCACTTGCTGCCTTTACATCCTGCAGAAACATGAGCCAATTAAACCTCTTTAAAAAATAATATTACAGAAAATTTGTACTGTAGAGTGGAGCTATGAAATGCCTTCAAGGTTTTTTCCTCATTTTTTTTTTTTTGACTATTAGCATTTGGCTTCCTTTATATGGAAATATCTGAAGCCTTCTTGAATCTTCCCCCTGAAAATGGACTTTTCTTCTTTTACCACATTGCCAGGCTGCCACAACGGTAGCTGAAAATGTAGAATGAGGTTCAGAAGTGGGTAACGACTGGACGCTGCACAGTTTGGGGGGCTTGGAAGAAGACAGAAAGATAAGGGAAAATTTGGACTATTGTAGAGATGTGTTAAAAGGGTGACCATAGAGACTTGTTACATAGCTATAATTAAAAGAGTGACTGAAGGATGGACAGTGAAGGCCAGGCTTAGAAGGTCTCAGATGAAAATGAGCAACTTACTGGGAAGAGGAGTCAAGGTTACTTTTGTTTTGACTTAGCAAAGAACTTGGCTGGATGGTGTCCCTGCCCTGGAGACCTCTGAAACTTTGAACTTGAGTGTGATGATTTTGGGTATATCTGGTGAAATGAAGTAGGCAGCAAAGTTCAAGAGGTGTCTTGTCTGTTTTGAACAGCCTGTGGTCTTCTCTGTGACTGAATAAATGACCTCAAATTGAAAGTTATATTTAAATGAGAAGCAGGGCTTAAAAGTTTGGAAAATTTGCAGCCTGGCCAAGTGGTCAAAAAGCAAAGCTGATTTTCAGTGGGAAAATTCAAGAAGGCTTCAGAAATTTGCATAAAATGGAGCCCAGTGCTTATAGCTAAGGTAATGTCTAAAAGGCCTTGAAGCCATTTCAGAGACCTTTGCAGCAGAGCTTGCTGTCACAGGCCCCGAGTTCTAGGACCGAAGAATACTTTCCTGGGTCAGTCCCATGGTCACGCAGCTGTGTCCATCCTCAGGACACTGCTGCCTGCATCCCTGCATCTCCAGCTCCAGCTCCAGCTCCAGCCATGGCTGAAAGATGCACAGGTACAGCTTGCATCACTGCTTCAGGGGTGCAAGCTTCAAACCTTGGTGGCTTCCACATAGTACTAAGCCAGCAGGTGCACAGAGCACAAAACTAGAGGCTTGGGAGCCTTTGTCTAGACTCCAGAGTATGTATGGAAAAACCTGTGTGTTGAGGCAGAAGCTTTTCCAAGAGGCAGAGCCTCATGGGAAACCTTTACTAGGGCAGTACAGAAGGAACATATGGGTTTGGAGCCCCACACAGGAATGCACCATTTTCCAGACCCCAGTCTCATAGACCCGCCAACTACTGGCATCCTCAGTGTGGAAAAGCCAAAGGCTCTCAACACCAGCCAAGCCCATGAGGGCACCTTTGGGGGATATACCCAGCACCGCCACAGATGCTGAGCTGCCCAAGGCCTTGGGAGCCCAGCCATCCACCCCTGTGCTCCAGATGTGTGGTATAGATTCAGACAAGATGATTTGGGAGCTGTAGGATTCAATGACTGGCCTGCTTGCTGGGTTTTTGACTTGCATGGGGTCTGTAAGTCCCATCTGTGTTTTGTGCTTCTTTCTCGCAAATGTTTTCCTTTTGGCTGGGAATGCTTACCCAACGCCTGTGTAATCATTGCTCCTTGGAAGTAGTAAACTTCCTTTATATATAATTCAGTGGCTCATGGTCAGAAGGGACTGTAGACTTGTCTCAGATAAGACTCTGGGCTTTGGGAACTTGAGTAAATGCTGGAATGAGTTAAGATTTGAGAGACTCTAAGGAAGGCATCATTGCATTTTGCAATGTGAGAAAGACATGAACTTTGGGTGACCAGGGAGAGAATAATATGTTTTGGCTCTCTGTCTCTACCAAAGCTCATGTGGAATGTTAATGGGAAATGTTAAAGGTGGGGGCTGGTGGAAGATGATTTATTCATGATGGAGAGTGCAGGTTGAATGGCTGGGGGTTGGGGAGGGTTGCGGGGGATTGGGTGGTGAGGAGGGTTGGAGGGGATTGTGGTGGGGTTGGGGGTGTAAGGCAGGGGCGGGGGTGCATCCTTCACAAATGGTTAAACACCATCTCCTTAATTCCGTCCTTCTGATAGTGAGTTCTCTTCATGATTTTGAAGCTGTGAGACTGAATGAACACTGACCTGCGGGATTTTGGATGTCCATTGGGCCTGTGGTCCCATTTGTGTTATTGTTCTTGGAAATTTCTTCCCTTTGGATTGAGAAAGCTTACCCAATACCTGTACCATCATTGTATCTTGAAAGAAACGAACAACATTTTAACTTCAGGGACTCATAGGCAGAAGAGACTGTAGCCTTGTCTCAGATGAGACTTTGAACTATTTACATTTGAGTTAATGCAGGAATGAGTTAAGGCTTTTAGAAACTTTGAAAAGGCACGATTATATTTTATTCTGTGAGAAGGATATGAGATTTGGGGGGTCAAGGTCAGCATAATATGATTTGGCTGTGTGCCCCTGGAAAAACTTATGTGGAATTGTAATCCCAAATGTTGGAGTTGGGGCCTGGTGTGAGATTATTTAATCATGGATGGGAGGGGTAGGGGTGGAAGAAAAAAGGGGTGAGTAGGGTGGGGAAGAGTAGGCTGGCTGTAGGGTGGTGGGAGGGTGGTGGGTAGTAGGAAGGGGGAGTAGCCTGCTGCAGAGGCAGCGGTTCATGGAAAACCTCTACCAGGGCAGTGGGCCTGTGGCTTTGCAGGCTTTAGCCCCCATGGCTACTCTCATGGGCTGGGCTGGTGTTGAGTGCCTATCACTTTTCCATACTGAGGGTGTGAACTGTTGGTAGGTGTACGAATCTGGGGTGTAGAGGATGGTGGCCTCCTGCATAGTCACTCAAAGCCCTTATTTTCCTTCTGCACTGCCATAGTACAGGATTTCCAAGAGCCTCTGCCTCTGCAGCAGGTTTCTGTCTGGAACGGTAGGGGGTGGAGCTGTGTTGGGGTGCGGATCCTTCACCAATGGTTAAGCACCATCTTCTTGATGCTGACCTAGTGATAGTGAGTTCTCATGAGATCTGGTTATAGGACGGTGTGGCACGTCTTTCCTCTCTCAGCCTTGCTCCTACTCCTGCTGTATGAAACATTTCATTGCTGTTTTCCTACTGGTATGATTGGGAGGCTTCCTGAGTCCTCCCAGAAGCAGAAGCCACTATGCTTTCTTTACAGCCTGCAGAACCATGAGCCAATTAAACCCCTTTTCATTATGATCATACAGAAAATAAAGTACTGCGAAGTGGAGCTATGAAATATCTTCAATGACATTTCCCCATCGTCTTGGCTATTAGCACTGGACTTCTTTTTAATGCAAATATCTGAAGGCTTCTTGAAGTTTCCCCCTGAAAATGGACTTCTTTTTCTTCTGCATTGCCAGGCTGCAACAAAGATAGCTGAAAATGTAAAGCAGGTTCAGAAGTGGGTAACAGCCAGAGGTTGGAGAGTTTGGAGATCTTGAAAGAAGACAGGAAGATGAAGGAAAGTTTGGACCATTGTAGGCACTTGTTAAATAGTGGTGATTAAAAAGCTCACAGAAGGATGAACGGTGAAGGCCAGGCTTACAAGGTCTCAGATGAAAATGAGGAACTTGGAACGGGAGCCAAGGTTACCTTTTGTTTTGCTGTAGCAAAGAACATGGCTGAAGGGTGAACTTGCCCTCAAGATATGTGAAACTTTGAACTCGAGGGTGATGATTTAGTGCATATCTGGTGGAATAAACTTCTAGGCAGCATAGCACAAGGGGGGAGGGCCTGTCTGCATCAAACAGCCTGTGCTCTCATGTGTGACCGAGTTTATGTGTGACCGAGGTTATGTGTGACCGAGGAAATGACCTGAAGTTGGAACTTGTATTTAAATGACAGGCAGAGCTCAAAAGTTTGGAACATCTGCAGCCTGGCCAAGTGGTCAAAAAGAAAAGCTGATTTTCTGGGGGAAAATTCATGAAGGCGCCAGAAACTTGCAGAAAATGGAGGCCAGTGCTAATAGCCATGACAATGGGGGAAAAAAGCCTTGGAGGCATTTCAGAGATGTTTGCAGCAGCCCTTACTGTCACAGGCCCTGGGGCCTAGGAGAGAAGAATGGTTTCCTGGGCCAGCCCCATGATCCTGCTGCCGTGTGCAGCCTCAGGACACTGCTGCCTGCATCCCGGCAGCCCAAGCTCCTGCTTCGTACTTGACTGAAAGATGCACAGGTACAGATTGCATCACTGCTTCAGAGGTACAGGCTATAAGGCTCCATGGCTTCCACATAGTGTTAAGCCCGCGGGTGCACAGAGCAGTAGCCCAGAGGCTTCGGAGCCTTCATATAGATTTCGGAAGATGTATGAAAATGCCTGGGTGTCCAGACAGAAGGCGCCAAAAAGCAGACCTTCCTGGGAAACCTGTACTAGGGCAGTGCAGAAGGAAAATATGGGCTTGGAGCCCCCACACTGGAGGCCAGCATCATGCAGACCCCAGATTCATAGACCCACCAAGAACTTTGTACTCTCTGTGGGTAAAAACTACAGGCAGTCAACACCAGCACAGCCCATGAGGGCAGCTGTGGGGACTGAACCCTGCAAAGCCACAAGTAGAGAGCTGCCCAAGGCCTTGGGAACCCAGCCCTCATACCCTTATGCCCTGGAGGTGGGACAAGCATTGAAAAAGGATGACTTTGGAGCTGTAGGTTTGAATAAGTGGCCTGCTGGGTTTTAGATTTTCATGGGACCTGTAAGTCCCGTTTGTGTTTTGTTCTTCTCTCTGGCAAAAATCTTCCTTTTGGTTGGGAATTCTTACTCAATGTCTGGACAATCATACCTTGGAAGTAGTTAACTTGCTTTGTATTTCAGAGGCTCAGGAGCAGAAGGGACTGCATCTTTGTCTCAGATGAGACTTTGGGCTTCACACATTTGAGTAAATGCTGGAATGAGTTAAGACCTTGGGGGTCTTAGCCAAGATGATGGGGAAAATCATTGAAGGCATTTCATAGGTTCACTTCACAATACTAATTTTCTGTATGATCATAACAAAAAGGGGTTTAATTGGCTCATGGTTCTGCAGGCTGTAAAAAAAAAAGCACAGTGGCTTGGGGAATGGTAAGTAAGGCATCATTGTATTTTGCAAAGTGAGAAGGACATGAGATTTGTGGGGCAGGGACAGAATAATAAGATTTGGCTGTGTGTCCCTATGGAAACTCATGTGGAGTTGTAATCAGAAATGTTACAAGTAGGGCCAGGTGGAAGGTGATTTAATTGTGGAGGGCACTGGGTATTGGAAGTTGGGGATTGGGAAGCATGGGTGGATTATGGTGGGGGTGAGGGATGAAAAGTGGGGGTGGGGAAGGATCCTTCACAAATGGTTAAACACCATCTCCTTAATTCTTTCTTCATAATGGTGAGTTCTTGTGATGGTTTTGGAGCTGTGAGATTGAATGGATACTGGCCTCCTGGGTTTTGGACTTGCATTGGCCCTGTGATCCCATTTGTGTTATTTTCCTGGCAAACCTCTCCCCTTTGGATGGAGAAAACTTTCCTAATGCCTGTACCATCTTTGTATCTTGAAAGAAAAGAAATCCCTTTTAAATTCAGGAACTTATAGGCAAAAGGGACTGTAGCCTTTTCTCAGGTGAGACGTTGAACTTTTTACATTTGAGCTAATGCTGAAATGACTTAAGACTTTCGGCAACTTTTGAAAAGGCATGATTGTATTTTACTCTGTGAGAAGGATATGATATTCGGGGGATCAGGGTCAGAATAATATGGTTTAGCTGTGTGTCCCTACCTAAACTCACATGTAATTGTAATCCCGAATGTTGCAGGTGGGGCCTGGTGGGAGGTGATTTATTCATGGATGGGAGAGGGGTGTGATTGGACATAAAAACAGGTGGGTAAAGTGGGGAGGAGTAGGCTGGCTGTAGGGTGGTTTGTAGCAGGAGGGGAGTAGCCTGCCGCAGAGGCAGAGGCTCATGGAAAAACTCTACTAAGGCAGTGTACCTGTGGCTTTGCAGGGTTTAGCACCTGTAGCTGCTCTCATGGGCTGGGCTGATGTTGAGTGCCTGTAGCTTTTCTATACTTGGGGTGTGAGCTGTTGATGGATCTACGGGTCTGGGGTCTGGAGGATGGTGGTATCCTCAATGGGGGCTCGAATCCCATAGTTTTCTTCTAAACAGCCATAGTAGAGGTTTTCAAAGAGGATCTACCTCTGTCTCAGGCTTCTGCTTGGAAACAGTGGGTGGTGGATACGGGGTGGTGGGCAGATCCTTCACCAACAGTTAAACACCATCTTCTTGATGCTGATCTCCTGATACTGACCTCTCATGAGATGTAGTTGTATAACAGGATGTCGCACCTCTTTCCTCTCTCTGTCTTGCTTCTACTCCTGCCATATGAAACATTTCATTGCCGCTTGGCCTTCTGGTATGATTGGGAGGCTTCCTGAGTCCTCCTACAAGCAGAAACCACTATGCTTTCTTTAGAGCCTGAAGAACTGTCAGTCAACTAAATCTCTTTTCTTTATGTAGATACAGAAAATTAATGCTGTGAAGTGAAGCTATTAAATGACTTCTAGGCCTTCCCCCAATGTCTTGACTATTAGCACTGAGCTTTTTTCAGTGCGGATATTGGAGACCTTCTTGATGTTTCCCCCTGATAATGGACTTTTCTTCTTTTACCACATTGCCAGGCTGTGAAAAAGATAGCTGACAGTGTAGAAGCAGGTTCTGAATTAGGTAATGGCCAGAGGTTATAGAGTTCGGAGAGCTTGGAAGAAGACAGGAAGATGAGGGAAAGTTTGGACCATTGCAGAGACTTGTTGAATAGTTGTGATTAAAAGGCTAACATAAGGATGGACAGTGAATGCCAGGCTTACAAGATCTCAGGTGAAAATGAAGGACTTACTGGGAACAGGAGCCAAGGTTTTTTTGTTTTGCCTTAGCAAAGTAATTGACTACACAGTGACCCTTCCCAGGAGATCTGTGAAACTGAACTTGAGGGTGATGATTTAGAGTGTATCTGGTGGAATGAACTTCTAAGCAACAATGCTCAAGAGTTCTCCTACCTACATTGAACAGCCTGTGCACCTATGTGTGATCAAAGAAATGACTATAAGTTGGAACTTATATTTAAATGAGAAGCAGAGTTAAAACATATGCAAAATTTGTAATCTGCACAAGTGGTCAAAAAGAAAAGCTGATTTTCAGGGGGAAAGCCAAGAAGGCTTCAGATATTTGCATAGAAAGGAGCCGAGTGCTAATAATTCAGGACAATGGGAAAAAGGCCTTGAAGGCGTTTCAGAGACCTTTGTAGCAGCCCTTGCTGTGACTGGTCCTGGGGCCTAGGAGAAAAGAATGGTTTCCTGGGCCAGCCCCATGGCTCCACTGCTGTGTGCAGCCTCAGGACACTGCTGCCTGCATCCCTGCAGCTCCATCTCCTGCTCCAGCCACGGATGAAAGATGCACAGGTATAGCTTGTGTCACTGCTTCAGAGGATGCAAGCTCATAGACTTGGTGGCCTCCACATGGTGTTAAGCCAGCAGGTGCATAAAGCAAGGTCTAGAAGCTTCTGAGTCTTCATCTAGACTCCAGAGGATGTATCAGAAAGCCTGATTGTCCAACCAGAAGCTTTTCCAAGAGGCAGAGCCTCATGGTAAACCTCTACTGGGGCAGTACACAAGGAGAGTATAGGGTTGGAGTCCCCATACAGGGAGGCACCATTTTGCAGGCCCCAGTTTCATAGACCCACCACCTGCTTGCACCGTTAGTGTTGAAAAGCTACAGTCACTCAACACCAGCCTCGTCAATGAGGGCAGCTGTAGGGGAAAGATTCTGCAATGCCACAGGTGCAGAGCTGCCCAAGGCCTTGGGATCCCAGCTGTCACATCACCCTGTGCTCTGGATGTGGACATAGATTCCAAAAAGATGATTTGGTGGTGTATGATGGATGACTGGCCTGCTGGGCTTTTGACTTGCAGGGGGTTTGTAAATCCCATCTGTGTTTTGTGCTTCTTTCTAGCAAATGTCTTCTTTTTGGCTGGGAATGTTTACCCAATGCTCGTACAATCATTGTACCTTGGAAGTAGTTAATTTGATGTGTATTTCAGAGTCTCAGGGCAGAAGGGACTGCAGCCTTGTCTCAGAAGAGACTTTGGGCTTTGGATATTTGAGTAAATGCTGGAATGAGTTAAGATTTGGGGGACTCTAGGGAAGGCATCATTGCATTTTGCAGTTTGAAAAAGACATGAGATCTGGGGGACCAGGGACAGAATAATATGTTTTTGCTCTGTGTCTCTACCAAAACTCATGTGGAATTTTACTGGGAAATGTTAAAGTTGGGGGCTGGTGGAAGGTGATTTAATCATGGTTGAGCGTGGAGGGTGGATCCTGGGGGTGGTGGGGAGGGTTGGGGCTATAGGTGGGTGGGGAGGGTTGGGGGATTGTGGTACAGTTGTGGCTGAAAGGCAGGGGTTGGGGGTGGATCCTTCACAAATGGACATTTGAGTAAATGCTGGAATGAGTTCAGACATTGGGAGACTGTAGAGAATGCATCATTGTATTTTGCAGTATAAGAAGGATATGAAATTGGGGACCACGGGGAGAATAATATGATTTGGCTCTGTGTCCCTACCAAAACTCATGTGGAATGTAATGGGGAATGTTAAATGTGGGGCTTGGTAGAAGGTGATTTAATCATGGTAGAGAATGGGGGTTGGAAGGTGGATGTGGGAGAATGGGGGTGCATGGTATGGGTGGGGGTGAAACGTGGGGGTGGGTGGCAGATCCTTCACAAATGGTTAAATACTATCTCCTTAATGCAGTCTGTGTGATAGTGAGTTCTCATGGTAAATGAATGCTGTCCTGCTGGGTTTTGGACTCGGATTGGGCCTGTGTCCCATTTGTGTTATTTTTCTGGGAAAATCTTCCCTTTGGATTGAGAAAGCTTACCCAGTGCCTGTGCCATCATTGTAACTTGAAAGAAAAGAATTGTCTTTCACATTCAGGGACTCATAGGCAGAAGGGATTGCAGCCTTGTCTTGGATGAGACTTGAACTTACTACATTTGAGTTACTGCTGGAATGAGTTAAGACTTTTGGAAACTTTTGAAAAGGTATTTTTGTATTTTTCTGTGTGAGAAGGACATGAGATTTGGAGGTGTCAGGGTCAGAACAATATGGTTTGGCTGTGTTTCCCCACAAAAACTTATGGGGAATTGTATTCCTGACTGTTGTAGGTGGGGCCTGGTGGGAGGTGATTTAATCACAAACGGGAGGTTGGTAGGGGTGGAAGGGAAAACAAGTAGGTAGGGTGGGGAGGAGTAGGCTGGCAGTAGGGTGGTGAGAGTGTGGTGGGCAGTAGGAAGAGGGAGTAGCCTGCTGCAGAGGCAGAGCCTCATGGAAAACCTCTACCGGGGCAGTGCACTTGTGGCTTTGCAGGCTTTAGCCCCCATGGCTGCCCTCGTGGGCTGGGCTGGTGTTGAGTGCCTGTAGCTTTTCCATACTGAGAATGCAAGCTGTTGGTGGGTCTATGAATCTGTGGTCTGGAGGATGGTAAATTCCTGCGTGGGGCCTCCAAGCCCATATATTTTTTCTGCACTGTCCTAGTAGAGGTTTTCCAAGAGGCTCTGCCTCTGCCTGAGGCTTCTGCCTGGAAACAGTGGGGGGTGGGGGTGGTAGGGGGCAGATCTTTCACCAATGGTTAAGCAACATCTTCTTGATGCTGACCTTGTAATACGGAGTTCTCAGGAAATCTGGTTGTATAACAGGGTTACACAACGTGTGGCACATTTTTCCTCTCTCTGTCTTTTTTCTACTTCTGCCATATAAAACTTCCCATTGCTGCTTGGTCTTCTGGTATGATTGGGAGGCTTCCTGAGTCCTCCCAGAAGCAGAAGCCTCTATGATTTATTTAAAGCTTGCAGAACCATGAGCCAGTTCAACCTCTTTTCTTTCTGATTATACAGAAAATTAATGCTGTAAAGTGGAGCTATGAAATGCCTTCAAGACCTTTTCCCTATTGTCTTGGCAATCAGCACTCAGCTTCTTTTCAGGCAAATGTCTGAAGCCTGCATTAATTTTTCTCCTGAAATGGACTTTTCTTCTTTTACCACATTGCCAGGCTGTGACACATGTAGCTGAAAATGTAGAAGCAGGTAAAGAAGTGTGTAATGGCCAGAGGTTGGAGAGTTTGGAGGTCTTGGAAGAAGACAGGAAGATGAAGAAAAGTTTGGATCAGTGTAGAGACTTGTTAAATAGTTATACTTAAAAAGGTGACATAAGGATGGACAGTGACCACCAGGCTTAGAAGGTCTCACATGAAAATATGTGACCAAAGAAATGACCTCAAGGTGAAACATATTTAAATGACAAGGAGAGCTTAAAAGTTGGGAAAATTTGCAGCCTGGCCAAGTGGTCAAAAAGAAAAGCTTATTATCAGTGGGAAAGTTCAAGAAGGCTTCAGAAATGTGCATAAATTGGAGTTCAGTGCTAATAGCCAATGCAATGTTAAAAAGGCCTTGAAGGCATTTCAGAGACTTGTTCAGCAGCCTTTGCTATCACAGGCCCTGAGGCCTGGGAGAAAAGAATGATTTCCTTCTCCAGCCCCATGGCCCCACTGCTATGTCCATCCTCAGGACACTGCTGGCTGGATTCCTGAAGCTCCAGCTCCAGCCATGGTTGAAAGATGCACAGGTACAGCTTGAGTCACTGCTTCAGAGGGTGCAAGCTGCAAGCCTTGGTGGCTTCCACATAGTGTTAAGCCAGCAGGTGCGCAGAGCACAGAACTGGAGGCTGGGGATCTTTGTCTGGACTCCAGAGTATGTATGGAAAAACCTGGGTGTCCAGGTCGAAACTTTTCCAAGAGGCAGAGCCTCCTTTACTAGGGCAGTACAGAAGGAACATATGGGGTTGGAACCGCATACAGGGAAGCACCATTCTGCAAATGCCAGATTCATAGACTCACTAGCAGCTTGCACCCTCATCGTGGAAAAGCTACAGGTACTCAACAGCAGCCCAGCCCATGAGGGCAACTGTGGAGGTTAGACCCTGCAACATCACAGGTGCAGAGCTGCCCAAGGCCTTGGGAGCCCAGGCCACATACTCTTGTGCTCGGGATGTGGGATCTGGATTCAAAAAGAGTGATTTGGAACTGTGGGATTCAATGACTGGCTGTTGGATTTTTGACTCCTATGGGGTTCGTAAGTCCCATCTGTGTTTTGTGCTTCTTTCTGGCAAATTTCTTCCTTTTGGCTGGGAATGCTTACCCAATGCCTGTACAATCATTGTACTTTGGAAGTAGTTAACTTGCTTTGTATTTCAGAGGCGCAGGTAGAACGTATGGCAGCCTTGTCTCAGAAGAGACTTTGGGCTTTGGACATTTCAGTAAATGTTGGAATGAGTTAAGGGATTAGGAAACTGTAGAGAAAGTATCATTGTATTTTGCAGTGTGAGAACAGCATGAGATATGGGGGCCAGGGTCAGAATAATAGGATTTGGCTCTGCATCCCTACCAAACTCATGTGGAATTGTAATGGGGAATGTTAAAGGTGGGGCCTGGTGGGAGGTGATTTAATCATGGAGAAGCATGGGGTTGGAGGTAAGGGTGTTGAGAGAATGGGGAGATTATTTTGTGGGTGGGAGTGAAAGATGAGGGTGGGGGGCAGATCCTTCACAAATGGTTAAGCACTCTCTCCTTAATGCTGTTCGCATGACAGTGAGTCCTCTTGATTTTGGAGCTGAGAGATTGAGTGAATACTGTCCTGCTGGGTTTTGGATTTGCATTGGGCCTGTGGGCCTATTTGTGTTATTTTTCTGGGAAATTTCTTCCCTTTGTACTGAGAAAGCTTACACAATGTCTCTACCATCATTGTACCTTGAAAGAAAAGAACTCCGTTTTAAATTCAGGGACTCATAGGCAGAAGGGACTGTGGCCTTATCTCAGATGAGACTTTGAATTTTTTACATTTGGAATGAGTTAAGACTTTTGCAAACTTTTGAAAAGTCATGATGATATTTTGCTCTGTGATAAAGGCATGAGATTGTGGAATATCAGGGTCAGAATTATATGGTTTGCCTGTGTGTCCCTATGAAACTCATGTGGAATTGTAATCCCTAATGTTGAAGCAGGTGACTTAATTATGGACAGGAGGTTGCTGGCGGTGGAAGGTAAAAGGGATGGGTAGGATTGGGAGGAGTGGGTTGGCAGTAGGGTGGTGGGAGGGTGGGGGTTAGTGGGAAGGAGGAGTAGCCTGCTGCAGAGGTAAAGCCTCATGGAAAACCTCCACTAGGGAAGTGCACCTGTGGCTTTGCAGGTTTTAACCCCTCAGCTGTTCTCGTGGGCTGGGCTGGTATTGAGGGCCTGTAGCTTTTACACACTAAGTGCGTGAGTTGTTGGTGGGTCTATGAATCTGGGATCTGGAGGCTGGTGGTCACTTGTGTGGGGGCTCAAAGCCCATATTTTCTTTCTGCACTTCCATAATAGAGGTTTTCCAAGAGGCTCTGCATCTGAAGGAGGCTTCTGCCTGGAAACAGTGGGAGTCGGGGGTGGGTGGGAGATCCTTCACCAATGTTTAAGCACCATCTTCTTGATGCTGACCTTGTGATAGTGACTTCTCATGAGATCTGCTTGTATAATGGGACATGACACCTGTTTCCTTTCTTTGTCTTGTTCCTACTCTTCCCATATGAGACATCTCCTTGCCCCTTAACATTCTGGTATGATTGGGAGGCTTCCTGAGTCCTGTCAGATGCAGAAGCCACTATGCTTCCTTACAGCCTGCAGAATCATTAACTTATTAAACCTCTTTTCTTTATGATCATAGAGAAAATTATTACTGCAAAGTGGATCTATTAAATGTCTTCAAGGCCTTCTCCCTAATGTCTTGGCAATCAGCAATGGGCTTCTTTTTATTCAAGTATCTGGAGCCTCCTTGAATTTTTCCCCTGAAAATGGGCTTGTCTTCCTTCACCACACTGCCAGCCTGTGACAAAGATAGCTGACAATGTAGAAGCAGGTTCAGAAGGGGGTGGCAGATGGAGTTCTGGAGAGTTTGGAGGACTTCAAAGACGGGGAGATGAGGGAAAGTTTGGATCTTTGTAAAGAGTTGTTAAATACTTGTGATCAGAAGATTCATAGGAAAATAGACAGTAAGGATCAGATTGAGAAGCTCTCAGATGAAAATGAGGAACTTACTGCAAACAGGAGCCAAGGTGACTTTTGTTTTGCTGTAGCAAAGAACGTGGATGCACAGTGACCCTGCCCTGGAGATCTGTGAAGCTTTGAAGTTGAGGGTGATGACTTACTGCGTATCTGATGGAATGAACTTCTGGGCAGCAAAGCTCAAGGGGTGTCCTGTCTGTATCAAACAGCCTGTGCCCTTATGTGTGACTGAGGAAATGACATCTGGATGGGTCTTACGTTAAATGAGTCTCAACTCTTATATTAAATGAGAAACAGAACTCAAAAATTTGCAGCCTGGCCAAATGGTCAAACAGAAAAGCTGATTTTCAGGGGAAACCTGAGGAAGGATTCAGAAATTTGCAAGAAAAGGAGCCCAGTGCTAATAGCCAAGATAACAGGGAAAAGGCCTTGAAGCCATTCCAGAAACCTTTGTAGCAGCCCTTGCTATCATAGGCCCTGGGGCCTAGGAGAGAAGAATGTTTTCCTGGGCCAGTTCCATGACCCCACTCTATGTGCAGCCGCAGGACACTGATGCCTGCATCCCTGCAGCTCTAGTTCCAGCCGTGGCTGAAAGATGCACAGGTACAGCATGCATCACGCTTTAGGGGTGCAAGCTTCAAGCCTTGGTGGCTTCCACATAGTGTTAAGCCAGCAGGTGCACAGAGCACAAAACTAGAGGCTTGGGAGCCTTTGTGTAGACTCCAGAGTATGTACGGAAAAACCTGGGTGTTGAGGCAGAAGCTTTTCCAAGAGGCAGAGCCTCATGGGAAACCTTTACTAGGGCAGTACAGAAGGATAATATAGGGCTGGAGTCCCTAAATATGGAGGCACAATTCTGCAGACCCCAGATTCATAGAGCCACCAACAGATGGCACCCTTAGTGTGAAAAGCTACAGGCACGCAACACCAGCCCAGCCCATGAGGGCAGCTGTGGGTGATAGACCCTGCACAGCCACAGGTGCAGAGCTGCCCAAGGCCTTGGGAGCCCAGGCATCACACACCTGTGCTCTAGATGTGAGATGTAGATTCAGAAAAGATGATTTGGAGCTGTAGGATTCAATGACTGGCCTTCTGGGTTTTTGACTTGCATGGGGTCTGTAAGTCCTTGTACATTTTAGTAATTGCTGGAATGAGTTAAGTCATTGGGGACAGTAAAGAAGTCTTCAATGTATTGTGCAGTGTGACAAGGATACAATATTTGGGGAGCAAGAGCCAGAATAATATGATTTGATTCTGTGTGCCTACCAATACTCATTTGGAATTGTAGTAGGGAATGTTAAAGGTGGCACCTGGTGGGAGGTGATTTAATCCTGGAGAAGAGTGGGTGTTGGAGATAGTCGTGTGGGGAGAATGGGAGAGATTATTTTGTTTGAGTGAAAGATGAGGGAGGGGGACAGATTCTTCACAAATGGGTAAACACTGTCTCCTTAATGCTGTCCGCATGACAGTGAGTTCTCTTGATGATTTTGGAGCTGTGAGATTGAATACTGCCCTGCTGGGTTTTCGACTTGCATTGGGCCTGTGGGCCCGTTTGTGTTATTTTTCTGGGAAATTTCTTCCCTTTGGATTGAGAAAGCTTACACAATACCTCTACCATCATTGTACCTTGAAAGAAAAGAAATCTCTTTTAAATTCAGGGACTCATAGGCAGAAGGGACAGTAGCCTTGTCTCATATGAAACTTTGAACTTTTTACACGTGGAATGTGTTAAGGCTACTGGAACTTTTGAAAAGGCATGATTGTATTTTGCTCTGTGATAAGGACATGAGATTCTGGGATATCAGGGTCAGAATAATATGGTTTGGCTGTGTGTACCTATAAAGATTCAGGTGTAATTGTAATTCCAAATGTTGAAGGTGGGGCCTGGGGGAGATGATTTAATCATGGATTGGAGGTGGTTGGGGGTGGAAGGAAAAGGGTTGTAACCAAGCGAGTTGTAGAGAAACCCCACACTATGAGACGAATTCAGGAGTCCTTTATTGCTGGCGACCGAGAGAGTGCTAGTGCTCAAAATTCTCTCGGCCCCTAAGAAGGGGCTAGATTTTCTTTTATACTTTGGTTTAGAAAGGGGAGGGGGAGCCTAGGTGAAGCAATCTTACAGAAGCAAAACAGGCAAAAAAGTTAAAAAGATAAATGGCTACAGGAAAACAAACAGTTCCAGGTGCAGGGGCTTTAAATCCATCAAAAGGTGATAGATGTGGGGGCTTTGGGTACTATCAATTGGACACAAATGTGGGGGCTTTAGGTACCATCAACAGGGTGAATTCCTGGGAACTGTGGATGTAGCTTGCCAGAGTGTCTTGTCAGGAATTGCATTCTTTGATGTGCTGGGAGTCAGCTTGCACAAGTTAAGTCCTTGAGGAAGGGGTGTGTGTAAGGGGCTGCAAATGAAGGTGCCAAGATGGAGTCTGTCTGGCTCTCTCAGCTAAGGGAGAGTCGATCAGGTTAAAACAAGGTAGGGTATCACAAAAGGGTTGGTTAAGGTGGGGAAGAGTAGGCTGGCAGTAGAATGGTGGGAGGGTTGGGGGTAGTAGGAAGGGGGAGTAGCCTGCTGCAGAGGCAAAGCCTCATGGAAAACCTCTACTAGGGCAGTGCACCTGTGGCTTTGCAGGGTTGAGCCCCTGCAGCTCCTTTCATGGGCTGGGTTGGTGTTGAGGTTTGCAAAAGCCTGTAGCTTTTCCACAGAGGGTGTGAGCTGTTGGTGGGTCTATGAATCTGGGGTCTGGAGGTTGGTGGCCATCTGCATGGGGGCTTCAAGCCCATATTTTCCTTCCACACTTCCCTGGTAGAGGTTTTCCAAGAGGCTCTGCCTGTGCAGCAGGCTTCTGTTTGGAAACAGTGGGAGTTGGGGGTCGGTGTTTGTTCTTTCCTCAATGGTTAAGCACCATCTTCATGATGCTGACATTGTGATAGTGAGTTCTCATGAGATCTGGTTGTATAATAGGGTGTGGCCCTCTTTCCTCTCTCTGTCTTGTGCCTACTCCTGCCACATGAATCATCTCGTCGCCCCTGGACATTCTGATATGATTGGGAGGCTTCCTGAGTCCTCCCAAATTCAGAAGCCATTATGTTTCCTTATGGCCTGCAGAATCATGAGCCAATTAAACCTCTTTTCTTTATGATCATAGAGAAAATTAGTGGTGCAAAGTGGAACTATTAAATGTCATTGTCTTGCCAATCAGCACTCAGCTTCTTTTCATTCAAGTATGTGAAGGCTTCATGAAATTTCCCCCTGAAAATGGACTTGTTTTCCTTTACCACATTGCCAGGCTGTGGCAAAGATAGTGATAATATAGAAGCAGGTTCAGAAGGGAGTAGCGGACAGAGGTCGGGAGAGTTTGGAGGGCTTCAAAGACAAGAAGATGAAAGAAAGTTTGGATCTTTGTAAAGAATTGTTAAACACTTGTGATCAGAAGGCTCACAGGAAAATGGTCAGTGAAAGCCCGACTTAGAAGGTCTCAGATGAAAATGAAGCACTTACTGGGAACAGAAGTCAAAGTTACTTTTGTTTCCTTAGCAAAGAACGTGGCTGCACGGTGACCTGGCCCTGGAGATCTGTGAAACTTTGAAGTTGAGGGTGATGATTTACTGAGTATCTGGTGGAATGAACTGGGCAGCAAAGCTCATGAGGTGTCCTGTCTGCATCAAACAGCCTGTGCTCTTATGTGTGATGGAGGAAATGACCTCTGGATGAGACTTACATTAAATGAGTCCCAACTCTTACATTACGTGGGAAACAGAACTCAAAAGTTTGGAAAATTTGCAGCCTGGCCATGTGGTCAAAAAGAAAAGCTGATTTTCAGGGGGAAAATTGAGGAAGGCTTCAGAAACTTGCCTGAAAAGGAGCCCAGTGTTCATAGACAAGACAATAGGGAAAAGGCCTTGAGGGCATTTCAGAGACCTTTGCAGCAGCCCTTGCTGTTACAGGCCCTGGGGCCTAGGAGAGAAGAATGGTTTCCTGGTGGAGTTCCATGACCCCCTTCTGTGTGCAGCCTCAGGACACTGCTGCCTGCATCCCTGCAGCTCCAGCTCCAGCTCCAGCTCCAGCCATGACTGAAAGATGCACAGGTACAGCTTGGGTCACTGCTACAGAGGGTGCCGGCTAGAAGCCTTGGTAAGTTCCTCATAGTGTTAAGCCACTGGTGGACGGAGCATGAGACTAGAGGCTTGGGAACCTCTCCATAGATTTTGGAAGATGTATGGAAATGCCTGGGTGTCCAGGCAAAAGCATCCCAAGAAGGCAGAGCATTATATGAAACTTCTACTAGAGCAGTGCAGAACGAAAACATGGGGTTGGAGCCTCCACACTGGAGGCCACCATCATGCAGACCACAGATTCATAGACACCCAACAACTTGTATCCTTCGTGGGGAAAAGTCACAGGCACTCAACACCAGCCAAGCCCATGAGGGCAGCCATGGGCATAAACCCTGCAAAGACACAGGTGCCAAGCTGCCCAAGGCCTTGGGGGCACAGCCCTCACACCCCTGTGCCCTGGATGTGGGACAGGGTTTCAAAAAGGGTGATTTTGGAGCTGTAGGATTGAATGACTGGCCTTCTGGGTTTGGAGTTTCATGCGGCCAGTAAGTCCTGTCTGTGTTTTGTTTTTTCCTGGCAAAATTCTTCCTTTTGGCTGGGAATGCTTACCCAATGCCTGTACAAGCATTGTACCTTGGAAGTAGTTAACTTGCTTTATATTTCAGAGGCTCATGGGCCTAAGCAACTGTAGCCTTATGCCAGATGAGACTTTAAGCTTTGAACATGTGTATAAATGCTGTAATGTTATAAGATTTTAGGAGACTGTAGGGAAGGCATCATTGTATTTTGCAACGTGAGAAGGACATGAGATTTGGGGAGCCAGGGACAGAATAATAAAATTCAGCTCTGTGTCTCTACCAAAACTCATGTGGAATTGTCATTGGAATGTTAAAGGTGGGGCCTGGTGGAAGGTGATTTAATCACTGTGGAGAGTGGGTGTTGGAAGATGGGGCGTAGGGAGAATCGGGGATTTATGGTGCGGGTGAGGAGTGAAAATTGGGGTTGGGATCCTTCCCAAATGATTAAACAATCTCCTTATTGCTGTCCTTGTGATAGTTCTCTTCATGACTTTGGAGCTGTAAGATTGAATGGATACTGGCCTTCTGGGTTTTGGACTTGTATTAGGCCTGTGGTCCCATTTCTGTTTTCTTCCTGGGAAATTTCTTCCCTTTGGATTGAAAAAGCTTACCCAAAGCCAGTACCATTATTGTACCTTGAAAGAAAAGAACATCCTTTTAAATTCAGGGACTCATAGGCAAAACGTACTGTAGAAGTGTCTCAGATGAGATGTTGATTTTGTTACATTTGAGTTTATGTTGGAATGATTTAAGACTTTTGGAAACTTTTGAAAAGGCATGAATATATTTTGCTCTGTGAGAAGGATATGAGACTGTGGGGATCAGGGTCAGAATAATGTGATTTGGCTGTGTTTCTTTACCAAAACTCATGTGAATTGTAATCCTTAATGTTGGAGGTGGGGCCTGGCTGGAGGTGATTTAATCATGGATGGGAGGGGGGCGGGTGTGGAAGGAAAAGGGGTGGGTAGGGTGAGGAGTAGGTTGTTAGTAGGGTGGTGAGAGGGTGGTGGGTAGCAGGAAGGGGGAGTAGCCTGCTGCAGAGGCAGAGGCTCATGGAAAGTCTGTACTAGGGCAGTGCACCTGTGGCTTTGCAGGGTGTAGCCCCCATGGCTGCTCTCATGGGCTGGGCTGGTGTGGAGTGCCTGTAGCTTTTCCACGCAGAGAGTGCAAGCTGTTGGTGGGTCTATGAATCTGCAGTCTGCAGGATGGTGGCCTCCTGTGTGGGGTCTCCAAGCCCATATTTTCCTTCTGCACTGCACTCGTAGAGGTTCTCCAAGAGGTTCTGCCTCTGCAGGAGGTTTCTGCCTGGAAACAGTAGGCGGTGGTGTGGGTGGATCCTTCACCATTGGTTAATCTTCCTGATGCTGATCTCCTGATAGTGAGTTCTCATGAGATCTGGTTGTATAACCTGGTGTGGCACCTCTTTCCTCTCTGTGTCTTCTTCCTACTCCTGCCATATGGAACACCTCATTGTCACTTGGCCTTTTGGTATGATTGGGAGGCTCCCTGAGTCCTCCCAGAAGCAGAAACCACTTGCTGCCTTTACATCCTGCAAAACCATGAGCCAATTAAACCTCTTTAAAAAATAATATTACAGAAAATTTGTACTGTAGAGTGGAGCTATGAAATGTCCTCAAGGTTTTTTCCCCATTTTTTTTTTTTTACTGTTAGCATTTGGCTTCTTTTATATGGAAATATCTGAAGCCTTCTTGAATTTTCCCCCTGAAAATGTACTTTTCTTCTTTCACTACATTGCCAGGCTTCCACAACGGTAGCTGAAAATGTAGAGGGAGGTTCAGAAGTGGGTAACGACCGGACGCTGTACAGTTTGGGGGGCTTGGAAGAAGACAGAAAGATAAGGGAAAATTTGGACTATTGTAGAGATGTGTTAAATTAAAAGGGTGACCATAGAGACTTGTTACATAGCCATAATTAAAAGAGTGACTGAAGGATGGACAGTGAAGGCCAGGCTTAGAAGGTCTCAGATGAAAATGAGCAACTTACTGGGAACAGAAGTCAAGGTTACTTTTATTTTGCCTTAGCAAAGAACTTGGCTGGATGGTGTCCCTGCCCTGGAGACCTCTGATACTTTGAACTTGAGTGTGGTGATTTAGGGTATATCTGGTGAAATGAAGTAGGCAGCAAAGCTCAAGAGGTGTCTTGTCTGTTTTGAACAGCCTGTGGTCTTCTCTGTGACTGAATAAATGACCTCAAATTGAAAGTTATATTTAAATGAGAAGCAGGGCTTAAAAGTTTGGAAAATTTGCAGCCTGGCCAAGTGGTCAAAAAGCAAAGCTGATTTTCAGTGGGAAAATTCAAGAAGGCTTCAGAAATTTGCATAAAATGGAGCCCAGTGCTTATAGCTAAGGTAATGTCTAAAAGGCATTGAAGCCATTTCAGAGACCTTTGCAGCAGAGCTTGCTGTCACAGGCCCTGTGTTCTAGGACCGAAGAATGCTTTCCTGGGTCAGTCCCATGGTCACGCTGCTGTGTCCATCCTCAGGACACTGCTGCCTGCATCCCTGCATCTCCAGCTCCAGCTCCAGCTCCAGCCATGGCTGAAAGATGCACAGGTACAGCTTGCATCACTGCTTCAGGGGTGCAAGCTTCAAACCTTGGTGGCTTCCACATAGTTCTAAGCCAGCAGGTGCACAGAGCACAAAACTAGAGGCTTGGGAGCCTTGGTCTAGACTCCAGAGTATGTACGGGAAAACCTGTGTGTTGAGGCAGAAGCTTTTCCAAGAGGCAGAGCCTCATGGGAAACCTTTACTAGGGCAGTACAGAAGGAACATATGGGGTTGTAGCCCCCACACAAGAATGCACCATTTTCCGTACCCCAGATTCATAGACCCGCCAACTGCTGGCACCCTCAGTGTGGAAAAGCCACAGGCACTCAACACCAGCCCAGCCCATGAGGGCATCTATGGGGGATAGACCCTGCACAGGCACAGATGCTGAGCTGCCCAAGGCCTTGGGAGCCCAGCCATCCACCCCTGTGCTCCAGATGTGGGATATAGATTCAGAAAAGATGACTTCGGAGCTTTAGGATTCAATGACTGGCTTGCTGGGTTTTTGAATTACATGGGGTCTGTAAGTCCCATCTGTGTTTTGTGCTTCTTTCTCGCAAATGTTTTCCTTTTGGCTGGGAATGCTTACTCAATGCCTGTAAAATCATTGCACCTTGGAAGCAGTAAACTTCCTTTATATGTAATTCAGTGGCTCATGAGCAGAAGGGACTGTAGACTTGTCTCAGATAAGACTCTGGGCTTTGGGGATTTGAGTAAATGCTTGAATGAGTTAAGATTTGAGAGACTCTAGGGAAGGCATCATTGCATTTTGCAATGTGAGAAAGACATGAACATTGGGGGACCAGGGAGAGAATAATATGTTTTGGCTCTCTGTCTCTACCAAAGCTCATGTGGCATGTTAATGGGAAATGTTAAAGGTGGGGGCTGGTGGAAGGTGTTTTAATCATGATGGAGAGAGGAGGTTGGATGGTTGGGGGTTGGGGATGGTTGGGGGGGATTCGGTGGTGAGGAGGGTTGGATGGGATTGTGGTGGGATTGGGGGTGTAAGGCAGGGGTGGGGGTGCATCCTTCACAAATGGTTAAACACCATCTCCTTAATGCTGTCCTTCTGATATTGAGTTCTCTTCATGATTTTGGAGATGTGAGATTGAATGAAAACTGACCTGTGGGATTTTGGATGTCCATTGGGCCTGTGGTTCCATTTGTGTTATTGTTCTTGGAAATTTCTTCCCTTTGGATTGAGAAAGCTTACCCAATATCTGTACCATCATTGTACCTTGAAAGAAATGAACACCCTTTTAACTTCAGGGACTCATAGGCAGAAGAGACTGTAGTCTTGTCTCAGATGAGACTTTGAACTTTTTACATTTGAGTTAATGCGGGAATGAGTTAAGGCTTTTGGAAACTTTGAAAAGGCACGACTGTATTTTATTCTGTGAGAAGGATATGAGATTTGGTGGGGTCAAGGTCAGCATAATATGACTTGGCTATGTGCCCCTGGAAAAACTTATGTGGAATTGTAATCCCAAATGTTGGAGTTGGGGCCTGGTGTGAGATTATTTAATCATGGATGGGAGGGGTATGGGTGGAAGAAAAAAGGGGTGAGTAGGGTGGGGAAGAGTAGGCTGGCTGTAGGGTGGTGGGAAGGTGGTGGGTATTAGGAAGGGGGAGTAGCCTGCTGCAGAGGCAGCGGCTCATGGAAAACCTCTACCAGGGCAGTGGGCCTGTGGCTTTGCAGGCTTTAGCCCCCATGGATGCTCTCATGGGCTGGTCTGGTGTTGAGTGCCTATCACTTTTCCATACTGAGGGTGTGAACTGTTGGTAGGTCTATGAATCTGGGGTCTAGAGGATGGTGGCGTCCTGCATAGTCACTCAAAGCCGTTCTTTTCCTTCTGCACTGCCATAGTACAGGATTTCCAAGAGCCTCTGCCTCTGCAGCAGGCTTCTGTCTGGAACGGTAGGGAGTGGAGCTGTGTTGGGGGGAGGATCCTTCACCAATGGTTAAGCACCATCTTCTTGATGCTGACCTAGTGATAGTGAGTTCTCATGAGATCTGGTTATAGGACGGTGTGGCACTTCTTTCCTCTCTCAGCCTTGCTTTTACTCCTGCTGTATGAAACATTTCATTGCTGTTTTCCTACTGGTATGATTGGGAGGCTTCCTGAGTCCTCCCAGAAGCAGAAGTCACTATGCTTTCTTTACAGCCTGCAGAACCATGAGCCAATTAAACCCCTTTTCATTATGATCATACAGAAAATAAAGCACTGCGAAGTGGAGCTATGAAATATCTTCAATGACATTTCCCCATCGTCTTGGCTATTAGCACTGGACTTCTTTTTAATGCAAATATCTGAAGGCTTCTTGAAGTTTCCCCCTGAAAATGGACTTCTTTTTCTTCTGCATTGCCAGGCTGCAACAAAGATATCTGAAAATGTAAAGCAGGTTCAGAAGTGGATAACAGCCAGAGGTTGGAGAGTTTGGAGATCTTGAAAGAAGACAGGGAGATGAAGGAAAATTTGGACCACTGTAGGCACTTGTTAAATAGTTGTGATTAAAAGGCTGGCAGAAGGATGGACAGTGAAGGCCAGGCTTACAAGGTCTCAGATGAAAATGAGGAACTTACTGGGCATGGGAGCCAAGGTTGCCTTTTGTTTTGCTGTAGCAAAGAACATGGCTGTAGGGCGAACTTGCCCTCAAGATCTGTGAAAGTTTGAACTCCAGGGTGACGATTTAGTGCATATCTGGTGGAATGAACTTCTAGGCAGCATAGCACAGGGGTGGGGGTCTGTGTGCATCAAACAGCCTGTGCTCTCACGTGTGACCGAGGTTATGTGTGACCGAGGAAATGACCTCAAGTCGGAACTTATATTTAAATGACAAGCAGAGCTCAAAAGTTTGGAACATCTGTAGCCTGGCGAAGTGGTCAAAAAGAAAAGCTGATTTTCAGGGGGAAAATTCATGAAGGCTCCAGAAACTTGCAGAAAATGGAGGCCAGTGCTAATAGCCAAGACAATGGGGGGAAAAGTCTTGGAGGCATTTCAGAGATATTTGCAGTAGCCCTTGCTGTCAGAGGTCCTGGGGCCTAGGAGAGAAGAATGGTTTCTTGGGCCAGCCCCATGATCCTGCTGTTGTGTGCAGCTTCAGGACACTGCTGCCTGCATCCCGGCAGCCCAAGCTCCTGCTCCAACCTTGGCTGAAAGATGCACAGGTACAGATTGCATCACTGCTTCAGAGGGTACAGGCTATAAGGCTTCATGGCTTCCACATAGTTTTAAGCCAGCGAGTGCACAGAGCACTAGCCCAGAGGCTTCAGAGCCTTCATATAGATTTCAGAAGATGTATGAAAATGCCTGGGTGTCCAGACAGAAGGCTGCCAAAAAAGGAGAGCCTCCTGGGAAACCTGTACTAGGGCAGTGCAGAAGGAAAATATGGGGTTGGAGCCCCCACACTGGATGCCAGCATCATGCAGACCCCAGATTAATAGACCCACCAAGAACTTTATACCCTCTGTGGGTAAAAACTACAGGCAGTCAACACCAGCACAGCCCATAAGGGCAGCTGTGGGGACTGAACACTGCAAAGCCACAAGTAGAGAGCTGCCCAAGGCCTTGGGAACCCAGCCCTCATACCCTTGTGCCCTCGATGTGGGACAAGGATTAAAAAAGGATGACTTTGGAGCTGTAGGTTTGAATAACTGGCCTGCTGGGTTTTGGAATTTCATGGGACCTGTAAGTCCCGTTCGTGTTTTGTTCTTCTCTCTGGCATAAATCTTCCTTTTGGTTGGGAATTCTTAATGTCTGGACAATCATACCTTGGAAGTAGTTAACTTGCTTTGTATTTCAGAGGCTCAGGAGGAGATGAGACTGCATCTTTGTCTTAGATGAGAGTTTGGGCTTCAGACATTTGAGTAAATGCTGGAATGAGTTAAGACCTTGGGGGTCTTAGCTAAGATGATGGGGAAAACTCATTGAAGGCATTTCATAGCTTTACTTCAGAGTACTAATTTTCTGTATGATCATAACAAAAAGGGGTTTAATTGGCTCATGGTTCTGCAGGCTGTAAAAAAAAAGTACAGTGGCTTGGGGAATGGTAAGTAAGGCATCATTGTATTTTGCAAAGTGAGAAGTACATGAGATTTGTGGGGCAGGGACAGAATAATAAGATTTGGCTGTGTGTCCCTATGGAAACTCATGTGGAATTGTAATCAGAAATGTTAAAAGTGGGGCCAGGTGGAAGGTGATTTAATCATGGAGGACACTGGGTGTTGGAAGGTGGAGATTGGGGAGAATGGGTGGATTATGGTGGGGGTGAGGGGTGAAAAGTGGGGGTGGGGGGGATCCTTCACAAATGGTTAAACACCATCTCCTTAATCCTTTCCTCATGATGGTGAGTTCTCGTGATGGTTTTGGAGCTGTGAGATTGAATGGATACTGGCCTCCTGGGTTTTGGACTTGCATTGGCCCTGTGATCCCATTTGTGTTATTTTCCTGGCAAACCTCTCCCCTTTGGATTGACAAAACTTACCCAATACCTGTACCATCTTTGTACCTTGAAAGAAAAGAAATCCCTTTTAAATTCAGGAACTTTTAGGCCAAAGGGTCTGTAGACTTTTCTCAGGTGAGACTTTGAACTTTTTACATTTGAGTTAATGCTGAAATGACTTAAGACTTTCGGCAACTTTTGAAAAGGCCTGATTGTATTTTACTCTGTGAGAAGGATATGATATTCGGGGGATCATGGTCAGAATAATATGGTTTAGCTGTGTGTCCCTACCTAAACTCACATGTAATTGTAATCCCGAATGTTGCAGGTGGGGCCTGGTGGGAGGTGATTTATTCATGGATGGGAGAGGGGTTGGATTGGAAGTCAAAACAGGTGGGTAAGGTGGGGAGGAGTAGGCTGGCTGTAGGGTGGTGTGTAGCAGGATGGGAGTAGCCTGCTGCAGAGGCAGAGTCTCATGGAAAAACTCTACTAAGGCAGTGCACCTGTGGCTTTGCAGGGTTTAGCACCTGTAGCTGCTCTCATG
Organism: Homo sapiens; assembly: GCF_000001405.40. Classification (NCBI taxonomy): domain Eukaryota; kingdom Metazoa; phylum Chordata; class Mammalia; order Primates; family Hominidae; genus Homo; species Homo sapiens. Next base: position 64,571 of record NT_187594.1, on the reverse strand, counting down.
GGCTGTGCTGGTGTTGAGTGCCTGTAGCTTTTCCATACTTGGGGCGTGAGCTGTTGATAGGTCTATGAATCTGGGGTCTGGAGGATGGTGGTATCCTACATGGGGACTCCAAGCCCATAGTTTTCTTCTAAACAGCCATAGTAGAGGTTTTCCAAGAGGATCTACCTCTGTCTCAGGCTTCTGCTTGGAAACAGTGGGTGGTGGATATGGGCTGGTGGGTGGATCCTTCAGCAACAGTTAAGCACCATCTTCTTGATGCTGATCTCCTGATACTGACCTCTCATGAGATCTAGTTGTATAACAGGATGTCGCACCTCTTTCCTCTCTCTGTGTTGCTTCTACTCCTGGCACATGAAACATTTCATTGCTGTTTGGCCTTCTGGTATGATTGGGAGGCTTCCTGAGTCCTCCTACAAGCAGAATCCACTATGCTTATTTTATAGCCTGAAGAACTGTGAGTCAACTAAACCTCTTTTCTTTATGTACATACAGAAAATTAATGCTGCAAAGTGAAGCTATGAAATGACTTCTAGGCCTTCCCCCAATCTCTTGGCTATTAGCACTGAGCTTTTTTCAATGCAAATATTGGATGCCATCTTGATGTTTCCCCCTGATAATAGACTTTTCTTCTGTTACCACATTGCCAGGCTGTGAAAATGATAGCTGATAGTGTAGAAGCAGGTTCTGAATTAGGTAAGGGCCAGAGGTTAAGAGAGTTTGGAGAGCTTGGAAGAAAACAGGAAGATGAGGGAAACTTTGGACCATTGCAGAGACTTGTTAAATAGTTGTGATTAAAAGGCTAACATAAGGATGGACACTGAAGACCAGGCTTACAAGATCTCAGGTGAAAATGAAGGACTTACTGGGAACAGGAGCCAAGGTTTTTTGTTTTGCCTTAGCAAAGTAATTGACTACACAGTGACCCTTCCCAGGAGATCTGTGAAACTGAACTTGAGGGTGATGATTTAGAGTGTGTCTGGTGGAATGAACTTCTAAGCAACAATGCTCAAGAGTTGTCCTGCCTACATTGAACAGCCTGCGCACCTATGTGTGATCAAAGAAATGACTATAAGTTGGAACTTATATTTAAATGAGAAGCAGAGTTTAAACATATGCAAAATTTGTAATCTGCGCAAGTGGTCAAAAAGAAAAGCTGATTTTCAGGGGGAAAGCCAAGAAGGCTTCAGATATTTGCATAAAAAGGATCCCAGTGCTAATAATTCAAGACTATGGAAAAAGGCCTGAAGGCATTTCAGAGACCTTTGTAGCAGCCCTTGCTGTCACTGGCCCTGGGGCCCAGGAGAAAAGAATGGTTTCCTGGGCCAGCCCCATGGCTCCACTGCTGTGTGCAGCCTCAGGACACTGCTGCCTGCATCCCTGCAGCTCCATCTCCTGCTCCAGCCACGGATGAAAGATGCACAGGTACAGCTTGTGTCACTGCTTCAGAGGATGCAAGCTCGAAGACTTGGTGGCTTCCACATGGTGTTAAGCCAGCAGGTGCATAAAGCAAGGACTAGAAGCTTCCGAGCCTTCATCTAGACTCCAGAGAATGTATCAGAAAGCTGGATTGTCCAACCAGAAGCTTTTCCAAGAGGCAGAGCCTCATGGTAAACCTCTACTGGGGCAGTACACAAGGAGAGTATAGGATTGTAGTCCCCATACAGGGAGGCACCATTTTCCAGGCCCCAGTTTCATAGACCCACCACCTGCTTGCACCGTTAGTGTTGAAAAGCTACAGGCACTCAACACCAGCCTCATCAATGAGGGCAGCTGTAGGGGAAAGATTCTGCAATGCCACAGGTGCAGAGCTGCCCAAGGCCTTGGGATCCCAGCTGTCACGTCACCCTGTGCTCTGGATGTGGACATAGATTCCAAAAAGATGATTTGGTGGTGTATGATGGATGACTGGCCTGCTGGGCTTTTGACTTGCAGGGGGTTTGTAAATCCCATCTGTGTTTTGTGCTTCTTTCTGGCAAATTTCGTCTTTTTGGCTGGGAATGATTACCCAATGCCTGTACAATCATTGTACCTTGGAAGTAGTTAATTTGCTGTGTATTTCAGAGCCTCAGGGCAGAAGCAACTGTAGCCTTGTCTCTGAAGAGACTTTGGGCTTTGGATATTTGAGTAAATGCTGGAATGAGTTAAGATTTGGGGGACTCTAGGGAAGGCATCATTGCATTTTGCAGTATGAAAAAGACAAGAGATCTGGGGGACCAGGGACAGAATAATGTTTTTGCTCTGTGTCTCTACCAAAACTCATGTGGAATTTTAATGGGAAATGTTAAAGTTGGGGTCTGATGGAAGGTGATTTAATCATGGTGGAGCGTGGAGGTTGGATGCTGGGGGTGGTGTTGAGGTTTGGGGCTATAGGTGGGTGGGGAGGGTTGGGGGATTGTGGTGCAGTTGTGGCTGAAAGGCAGGGGTTGGGGGTGGATCCTTCACAAATGGACATTTGAGTAAATGCTGGAATGAGTTCAGACATTGGGGAACCTTAGAGAACACATCATTATATTTTGCAGTATAAGAAAGTCATGAGATTGGGGACCAAGGGGAGAATAATATGATTTGGCTCTGTGTCCCTTCCAAAACTCATGTGGAATTGTAATGGGGAATGTTAAATGTGGGGCTTGGTAGAAGGTGATTTAATCATGGTAGAGAATGGGGGTTGGAAGGTGGATGTGGGAGAATAGGGGTTCATGGTGTGGGTGAGGGTGAAACATGGGGATGGGTGGCAGATCCTTCACAAATGGTTAAATACTATCTCCTTAATGCAGTCTGTGCGATATTGAGTTCTCATGATAAATGAATGCTGTCCTGCTGGGTTTTGGACTCGGATTGGGCCTGTGTCCCAATTGTGTTATTTTTAAGGGAAAATCTTCCCTTTGGAGTGAGAAAGCTTACCCAGTGCCTGTGCCATCATTGTAACTTGAAAGAAAAGAATTGTCTTTTACATTCAGGGACTCATAGGCAGAAGGGATTGCAGCCTTGTCTTGGATGAGACTTGAACTTACTACATTTGAGTTACTGCTAGAATGAGTTAAGACTTTTGGAAACTTTTGAAAAGGTATTTTTGTATTTTTCTGTGTGAGAAGGACATGAGATTTGGAGGTGTCAGGGTCAGAACAATATGGTTTGGCTGTGTTTCCCCACAAAAACTTATGGGGAATTGTATTCCTGACTGTTGTAGGTGGGGCCTGGTGGGAGGTGATTTAATCACAAACGGGAGGTTGGTAGGGGTGGAAGGAAAAACAAGTAGGTAGGGTGGGGAGGAGTAGGCTGGCAGTAGGGTGGTGAGAGGGTGGTGGGCAGTAGGAAGAGGGAGTAGCCTGCTGCAGAGGCAGAGCCTCATGGAAAACCTCTACCGGGGCAGTGCACTTGTGGCTTTGCAGGCTTTAGCCCCCATGGCTGCCCTCGTGGGCTGGGCTGGTGTTGAGTGCCTGTAGCTTTTCCATACTGAGAATGCAAGCTGTTGGTGGGTCTATGAATATGTGGTCTGGTGGATGGTAACCTCCTGCGTGCGGCCTCCAAGCCCATATATTTTTTCTGCACTGTCCTAGTAGAGGTTTTCCAAGAGGCTCTGCCTCTGCCTGAGGCTTCTGCCTGGAAACAGTGGGGGGTGGGGGTGGTAGGGGGCAGATCTTTCACCAATGGTTAAGCAACATCTTCTTGATGCTGACCTTGTAATACGGAGTTCTCAGGAAATCTGGTTGTATAACAGGGTTACACAACGTGTGGCACATTTTTCCTCTCTCTGTCTTTTTTCTACTTCTGCCATATAAAACTTCCCATTGCTGCTTGGTCTTCTGGTATGATTGGGAGGCTTCCTGAGTCCTCCCAGAAGCAGAAGCCTCTATGATTTATTTAAAGCTTGCAGAACCATGAGCCAGTTCAACCTCTTTTCTTTCTGATTATACAGAAAATTAATGCTGTAAAGTGGAGCTATGTAATGCCTTCAAGACCTTTTCCTTATTGTCTTGGCAATCAGCACTCAGCTTCTTTTCAGGCAAATGTCTGAAGCCTGCATTAATTTTTCTCCTGAAATGGACTTTTCTTCTTTTACCACATTGCCAGGCTGTGACACATGCAGCTGAAAATGTAGAAGCAGGTAAAGAAGTGTGTAATGGCCAGAGGTTGGAGAGTTTGGAGTTCTTGGAAGAAGACAGGAAGATGAGGAAAAGTTTGGATCAGTGTAGAGACTTGTTAAATAGTTATACTTAAAAAGGTGACATAAGGATGGACAGTGACCACCAGGCTTAGAAGGTCTCACATGAAAATATGTGACCAAAGAAATGACCTCAAGGTGAAACATATTTAAATGACAAGGAGAGCTTAAAAGTTGGGAAAATTTGCAGCCTGGCCAAGTGGTCAAAAAGAAAAGCTTATTATCAGTGGGAAAGTTCAAGAAGGCTTCAGAAATGTGCATAAAATGGAGTTCAGTGCTATTAGCCAATGCAATGTTAAAAAGGCCTTGAAGGCATTTCAGAGACTTGTTCAGCAGCCCTTGCTATCACAGGCCCTGAGGCCTGGGAGAAAAGAATGGTTTCCTTCTCCAGCCCTATGGCCCCGCTGCTATGTCCATCCTCAGGACACTGCTGGCTGGATTCCTGAAGCTCCAGCTCCAGCTCCAGCCATGGTTGAAAGATGCACAGGTACAGCTTGAGTCACTGCTTCAGAGGGTGCAAGCTGCAAGCCTTGGTGGCTTCCACAGAGTGTTAAGCCAGCAGCTGCACAGAGCACAAAACTGGAGGCTGGGGATCCTTTGTCTGGACTCCAGAGTATGTATGGAAAAACCTGGGTGTCCAGGTCGAAACTTTTCCAAGAGACAGAGCCTCCTTTACTAGGGCAGTACAGAAGGAACATATAGCGTTGGAACCCCCATACAGGGAGGCACCATTCTGCAAATGCCAGATTCATAGACTCACTAGCAGCTTGCACCCTCATTGTGGAAAATGAGCTACTTAACAGCAGCCCAGCCCATGAGGGCAACTGTGGAGGTTAGACCCTGCAACGTCACAGGTGCAGAGCTGCCCAAGGCCTTGGGAGCCCAGGCCTCATACCCTTGTGCTCTGAATGTGGGATCTGGATTCAAAAAAAATGATTTGAAACTGTAGGACTGAATGACTGGCTGTTGGATTTTTGACTCCTATGGGGTTTGTACGTCCCATCTGTGTTTTGTGCTTCTTTCTGGCAAATTTCTTCCTTTTGGGTGGAAATACTTACCCAATGCCTGTACAATCATTGTACTTTGGAAGTAGTTAACTTGCTTTGTATTTCAGAGGCTCAGGGGCAGAAGAGACCACAGCCTTGTCTCAGAAGAGACTTTGGGCTTTGGACATTTCAGTAAATGCTGGAATGAGTGAAGACATTGGGAAACTGTAGAGAAGGCATCATTGTATTTTGCAGTGTGAGAACAACATGAGATATGGGGGCCAGGGTCAGAATAATATTATTTGGCTCTGAATCCCTACCAAACTCATGTGGAATTGTAATGGGTAATGTTAAAGGTGGGGCCTGGTGGGAGGTGATTTAATCATGGAGAAGAATGGGGTTGGAGATAGGGGACTTGGGAGAATAGGGGAGATTATTTTGTGGCTGGGATCGAAAGATGAGGGTGGGGGCCAGATCTTTCAGAAATGGATAAACATGCTCTCCTTAATGCTGTTCACATTATAGTGAGTTCTCTTGATGATTTTGGAGCTGAGAGATTGAGTGAATACTGTCCTGCTGGGTTTTGGATTTGCATTGGGCCTGTGGGCCCATTTGTGTTATTTTTCTGGGAGGTTTCTTCCCTTTGGACTGAGAAAGCTTACACAATGCCTGTACCATCATTGTACCTTGAAAGAAAAGAACTCCGTTTTAAATTCAGGGACTCATAGGCAGAAGGGACTGTGGCCTTATCTCAAATGAGACTGAAGTTTTTACATTTGGAATGAGTTAAGACTTTTGCAAACTTTTGAAGAGTTATGATTGTATTTTGCTCTGTGATAAAGACATGAGATTGTGGAATATCAGGGTCAGAATTATATGGTTTGCCTGTGTGTCCCTATGAAACTCATGTGGAATTGTAATCCCTAATGTTGAAGCAGGTGACTTAATTATGGACAGGAGTTTGGTGGTGGTGGAAGGTAAAAGGGATGGGTAGGATTGGGAGGAGTGGGTTGGCAGTAGGGTGGTGGGAGGGTGGGGTGTAGTAGGAAGGGGGAGTAGCCTGCTGCAGAGGTAAAGCCTCATGGAAAACCTCCACTAGGGAAGTGCACCTGTGGCTTTGCAGTTTTTAGCCCCTCAGCTGTTCTCGTGGGCTGGGCTGGTATTGAGGGCCTGTAGCTTTACCACACTAAGTGCGTGAGATGTTGGTGGGTCTATGAATCTGGGATCTGGAGGTTGGTGGCCACCTGTGTGGGGGCTCCAAGCCCACATTTTCTTTCTGCACTTCCGTAATAGAGGTTTTCCAAGAGGCTCTGCATCTGAAGGAGGCTTCTGCCTGGAAACAGTGGGAGTTGGGGTTGGGGGGCAGATCCTTCACCAATGTTTAAGCACCATCTTCTTGATGCTGACCTTGTGATAGTGAGTTCTCATGAGATCTGCTTGTATAATGGGGCATGACACCTATTTCCTTTCTCTGTCTTGCTCCTACTCCTGCCAAATGAGACATCTCCTTGCCCCTTGACATTCTGGTATGATTGGGATGCTTCCTGAGTCCTGTCAGGTGCAGAAGCCACTATGCTTCCTTACAGCCTGCAGAATCATTAACCTATTAAACTCTTTTCTTTATGATCATGGATAAAATTATTACTGCAAAGTGGAACTGTTAAATGTCTTCAAGGCCTTCTCCCTAATGTCTTGGCAATCAGCACTCAGCTTCTTTTCATTCAAGTATCTGAAGCCTCCTTGAATTTTTCCCCTGAAAATGGGCTTGTCTTCCTTTTCCACACTGCCAGACTGTGACAAAGATAGCTGATAATGTAGAAGCAGGTTCAGAAGCGGGTAGCAGATGTAGTTCGGGAGAGTTTGGAGGACTTCAAAGACAGGGAGATGAGGGAAAGTTTGGATCTTTGTAAAGAATTGTTAAATACTTGTGATCAGAAGACTCATAGGAAAATAGACAGTAAGGATCAGATTGAGAAGCTCTCAGATGAAAATGAGGAACTTACTGCAAACAGGAGCCAAGGTGACTTTTGTTTTGCTGTAGCAAAGAACATGGATGCACAGTGACCCTGCCCTGGAGATCTGTGAAACTTTGAAGTTGAGGGTGATGACTTACTGCGTATCTGATGGAATGAACTTCTGGGCAGCAAAGCTCAAGGGGTGTCCTGTCTGTATCAAACAGCCTGTGCCCTTATGTGTGACTGAGGAAATGACATCTGGATGGGTCTTACATTAAATGAGTCTCAACTCTTATATTAAATGAGAAACAGAACTCAAAAATTTGCAGCCTGGCCAAGTGGTCAAAAAGAAAAGCTGATTTTCAGGGGAAAACTGAGGAAGCCTTCAGAAATTTGCATGAAAAGGAGCCCAGTGCTAACAGCCAATAAAATAGGGAAAAGGCCTTGAAGCCATTTCAGAAACCTTTGCAGCAGCCCTTGCTATCATAGGCTCTGGGGCCTAGGAGAGAAGAATGGTTTCCTGGGCCAGTTCCATGATCCCCCTCTGTGTGCAGCCTCAGGACACTGCTGCCTGCATCCCTGCAGCTCTAGTTCCAGCCATGGCTGAAAGATGCACAGGTACAGCTTGCATCACGCTTCAGGGGTGCAAGCTTCAAGCCTTGGTGGCTTCCACATAGTGTTAAGCCAGCAGGTGCACAGAGCACAAAACTAGAGGCTTGGGAGCCTTAGTCTAGACTCCAGAGTATGTACGGAAAAACCTTTGTGTTCAGGCAGAAGCTTTTCCAAGAGGCAGAGCCTCATGGGAAACCTTTACTAGGGCAGTACAGAAGGATAATATAGGGCTGGAGTCCCTAAATATGGAGGCACCATTCTCCAGACCCCAGATTCATAGACCCACCAACAGCTGGCACCCTTAGTGTGGAAAAGCTACAGGCACTCAACACCAGCCCAGCCCATGCGGGCAGCTGTGGGTGATAGACCCTGCACAGTCACAGGTGCAGAGCTGCCCAAGGCCTTGGGAGCCCAGCCATGACACGCCTGTGCTCTGGATGTGAGATGTCCATTCAGAAAAGATGATTTGGAGCTGTAGGATTCAATGACTGGCCTGCTGGGTTTTTGACTTGCATGGGGTCTGTAAGTCCTCGTACATTTTAGTAAATGCTGGAATGAGTTAAGTCATTGGGGGACAGTAAAGAAGTCATCAATGTATTTTGCAGTGTGACAAGGATACAATATTTGGGGAGCAAGAGCCAGAATAATATGATTTGATTCTGTGTCCCTAGCAATACTCATTTGGAATTGTAGTAGGGAATGTTAAAGGTGAGACCTGGTGGGAGGTGATTTAATCATGGAGAACAGTGGGTGTTGGAGGTAGTGGTGTGGGGAGAGTGGGAGAGATTATTTTGTGGGTGGGAGTGAAAGATGAGGGTGGGGAAACAGATTCTTCACAAATGGGTAAACACTGTCTCCTTAATGCTGTCCGTATGACAATGAGTTCTCTTGATGATTTTGGAGCTGTGAGATTGAATACTGCCCTGCTGGGTTTTGGACTTGCACTGGGCCTGTGGGCCCATTTGTGTTATTTTTCTGGGAAATTTCTTCCCTTTGGATTGAGAAAGCTTACACAATACCTCTACCATCATTGTACCTTGAAAGAAAAGAAATCTCTTTTAAATTCAGGGACTCATAGGCAGAAGGGGCAGTAGCCTTGTCACAGATGAGACTTTGAACTTTTTACACTTGGAATGAGTTAAGGCTGTTGGAACTTTTGAAAAGGCATGATTGTATTTTGCTCTGTGATAAGGACATGAGATTCTGGGATATCAGGGTCAGAATAATATGGTTTGGCTGTGTGTCCCTATACAAATTCACGTGGAATTGTAATTCCAAATGTTGAAGGTGGGGCATGGGGGAGATGATTAATCATGGATTGGAGGTGGGTTGGGGGTGGAAGGAAAAGGATTGTAACCAAGCGAGTTGTAGAGAAACCCCACACTATGAGACGAATTCAGGAGTCCTTTATTGCTGGCAACCGAGAGAGCGCTAGTGCTCAAAATTCTCTCGGCCCCTAAGAAGGGGCTAGATTTTCTTTTATACTTTGGTTTAGAAAGGGGAAGGGGAGCCTAGCTGAAGCAATCTTACAGAAGCAAAACAGGCAAAAATTTAAAAAGGTAAATGGCTACAGGAAAACAAACAGTTCCAGGTGCAGGGGCTTTAAATCCATCAAAAGGTGATAGATGTGGGGGCTCTGGGTGCTATCAACTGGACACAAATGCGGGGGTTTTAGGTACCATCAACGGGGTGAATTCCTGGGAGCTGTGGATATAGCTTGCCACAGTATCTTGTCAGTAATTGCATTCTTTGATGTGCTGGGAGTCAGCTTGCCCAAGTTATGTTCTTTAGGAAGGGTTGTGTGTAAGGGGCTGCAAGTGACACAGCCAAGATGGAGTCTGCCTGGCTCCCTCAGCTAAGGGAGAGTCTATCAGGTTAAAACAAGGTAGGGTATCACAAAAGGGTTGGTTAGGGTGGGGAGGAGTAGGCTGGCAGTAGAATGGTGGGAGAGTTGGGGGTAGTAGGAAGGAGGAGAAGGCTGGCAGTAGAATGGTGGGAGAGTTGGGGGTAGTAGGAAGGGGGAGTAGCCTGCTGCAGAGGCAAAGCCTCATGGAAAACCTCTACTAGGGCAGTGCACCTGTGGCTTTGCAGGGTTGAGCCCCTGCAGCTGCTTTCATGGGCTGGGTTGGTGTTGAGGTTTGCAAAAGCCTGTAGCTTTTGCACAGAGGGTGTGAGCTGCTGGTGGGTCTGTGAATCTGGGGTCTGGAGGGTGGTGGTCATCTCCGTGGGGGCTCCAAGCCCATATTTTCCTTCCACACTGCCCTAGTAGAGGTTTTCCAAGAGGCTCTGCCTGTACAGCAGGCTTCTGTTTGGAAACAGTGGGAGTTGGGGGTGGGTGTTTGTTCCTTCATCAATGTTTAAGCACCACCTTCATGATGCTGACCTTGTAATAGTGAGTTCACATAAGATTTGGTTGTATAATAGGGTGTGGCTCTCTTTCCTCTCTGTCTTGTGCCTACTCCTGCCACATGAATCATCTCATTGCCCCTTGACATTCTGGTATGATTGGGAGGCTTCCTGAGTCCTCCCAGATTCAGAAACCACTGTGTTTCCTTACAGCCTGCAGAATCATGAGCCAATTAAACCTCTTTTCTTTATGATCATAGAGAAAATTAGTAGTGCAAAGTGGAACTATTAAATGTCATTGTCTTGGCAATCATCACTCAGCTTCTTTTCATTCAAGTATGTGAAGGCTTCATGAATTTTCCCCCTGAAAATGGACTTGTCTTCCTTTACCACATTGCCAGGCTGTGGCAAAGATAGTGATAATGTAGATGCAGGTTCAGAAGGGAGTAGCGGACAGAGGTCAGAAGAGTTTGGAGGGCTTCAAAGACAAGAAGATGAAAGAAAGTTTGGATCTTTGTAAAGAATTGTTAAACACTTGTGATCAGAAGGCTCACAGGAAAATGGTCAGTGAAAGCCCGACTTAGAAGGTCTCAGATGAAAATGAAGCACTTACTGGGAACGGAAGTCAAAGTTACTTTTGTTTCCTTAGCAAAGAACGTGTCTGAACAGTGACCTTGCCCTGGAGATCTGTGAAACTTTGAACTTGAGGGTGATGATTTACTGAGTATCTGATGGAATGATCTGAGCAGCAAAGCTCAAGAGGTGTCCTGTCTCCATCGAGCAGCCTGTGCTCTTATGTGTGATGGAGGAAATGACCTCTGGATGGGACTTACATTAAATGAGTCCGAACTCTTATAGTAAATGAGAAACAGAACTCAAAAGTTTGGAAAATTTGCAGCCTGGCCATGTGGTCAAAAAGAAAAGCTGATTTTCAGGGGGAAAATTGAAGAAGGCTTCAGAAACTTGCATGAAAAGGAGCCCAGTGCTAATATACAAGAGAATAGGGAAAAAGCCTTGAAGGCATTTCAGAGACCTTTGCAGCAGCCCTTGCTGTTACAGGCCCTGGGGCCTAGGAGAGAAGAATGGTTTCCTGGGCCAGTTCCATGACCCCCCTCTGTGTGCAGCCTCAGGACACTGCTGCCTGCATCCCTGTGGCTCCAGCTCCAGGTCCATCTCCAGCCATGATTGAAAGATGCGCAGGTACAGCTTGGGTCACTGCTATAGAGGGTGCCGGCTAGAAGCCTTGGTAAGTTCCTCATAGTGTTAAGCCACTGGTGGACGGAGCATGAGACTAGAGGCTTGGGAACCTCTCTATAGATTTTGGAAGATGTATGGAAATGCCTGGGTGTCCAGGCAAAAACATCCCAAAAAGGCAGAGCCTTATATGAAACTTCTACTAGGGCAGTGCAGAAGGAAAGTATGGGGTTGGAGCCCCCACACTGGAGGCCACCATCATGCAGACCCCAGATTCATAGACCCCCCAGCAACTTGTGTTCTTAGTGGGGAATAGTCACAGGCACTCAACACCAGCCAAGCCCATGAGGGCAGCCATGGGGCATAAACCCTGCAAAGACACAGGTGCCAAGCTGCCCAAGGCCTTGGGAGCACAGCCCTCACACCCCTGTGCCCTGGATGTGGGACAGGGTTTCAAAAAGGTTGATTTTGGAGCTGTAGGATGGAATGACTGGCCTTCTGGGTTTAGAGTTTCATGGGGCCGGTAAGTCCTATCTGTGTTTTGTTTTTTTCCGGCAACATTCTTCCTTTTGGCTGGGAATGCTTACCCAATGCCTGTACAAGCATTGTACCTTGGAAGTAGTTAACTTGCTTTATATTTCAGAGGCTCATGGGCCTAAGAAACTGTAGCCTTGTGTCAGATGAGACTTTAAGCTTTGAACATTTGTATAAATGCTGTAATGATATAAGATTTTGGGGGACTGTAGGGAAGGCATCATTGTATTTTGCAATGTGAGAAGGACATGAGATTTGGGGAGCCAAGGACAGAATAATAAAATTCAGCTCTGTGTCTCTACCAAAACTCATGTGGAATTGTAATCGGAATGTTAAAGGTGGGGCCTGGTGGAAGGTGATTTAATCACGGTGGAGAGTGGGTGTTGGAAGATGGGGCATAGGGAGAATGGGGGATTTATGGTGCAGGTGAGGAGTGAAAATTGGGGGTGGGGGGCGGATCCTTCACAAATGAGTAAACACTCTCCTTATTGCTGTCCTTGTGATAGTGAGTTCTCTTCATGACTTTGGAGCTGTAAGATTGAATGGATACTGGCCTTCTGGGTTTTGGACTTGTATTGGGCCTGTGGTCCCATTTGTGTTTCCTTCCTGGGAAATTTCTTCCCTTTGGATTGAAAAAGCTTACCCAAAGCCAGTACCATTATTGTACCTTGAAAGAAAAGAACATCCTTTTAAATTCAGGGACTTATATGCAAAAGGTACTGTAGACTTGTCTCAGATGAGATGTTGATTTTTTTTACATTTGAGTTAATGTTGGAATGAGTTAAGACTTTTGGAAACTTTTGAAAAGGCATGAATATATTTTGCTCTGTGAGAAGGACATGAGACTGTGGGGATCAGGGTCAGAATAATATGATTTGGTTGTGTTTCTTTACCAAAACTCATGTGAATTGTAATCCTTAATGTTGGAAGTGGGGCTTGGCTGGAGGTGATTTAATCATGGATGGGAGGGGGCCGGGGGTGGAAGGAAAAGGGGTGGGTAGGGTGAGGAGTAGGTTGTTAGTAGGGTGGTGAGAGGGTGGTGGGTAGCAGGAAGGGGGAGTAGCCTGCTGCAGAGGCAGAGGCTCATGGAAAATCTGTACTAGGGCAGTGCACCTGTAGCTTTGCAGGGTGTAGCCCCCATGGCTGCTCTCATGGGCTGGGCTGGTGTGGAGTGCCTGTAGCTTTTCCACGCAGAGAGTGCAAGCTGTTGGTGGGTCTGTGAATCTGCAGTCTGCAGGATGGTGGCCTCCTGTGTGGGGGCTCCAAGCCCATATTTTCCTTCTGCACTGCACTGGTAGAGGTTCTCCAAGAGGTTCTGCCTCTGCAGGAGGCTTCTGCCTGAAACAGTGGGGGGCGGTATGGGCCGATCCTTCCCCATTGGTTAATCTTCCTGATGCTGATCTCCTGATAGTGAGTTCTCATGAGATCTGGTTGTATAACCGAGTGTGGCACCTCTTTCCTCTCTGTGTCTTCTTCCTACTCCTGCCATATGGAACATCTCATTGTCACTTGGCCTTCTGGTATGATTGGGAGGCTTCCTGAGTCCTCCCAGAAGCAGAAGCCACTTGCTGCCTTACAGCCTGCAGAAACATGAGCCAATTAAACCTCTTTTAAAAATAATATTACAGAAAATTTGTACTGTAGAATGGAGCCATGAAATGCCCTCAAGGTTTTTTCCTCTTTTTTTTTTTTTACTATTAGCATTTGGCTTATTTTATATGCAAATATCTGAAGGCTTCTTGAATTTTCTCCCTGAAAATGGACTTTTCTTCTTTTACCACATTGCCAGGCTGCCACAACGGTAGCTGAAAATGTAGAAGCAGGTTCAGAAGTGGGTAACAAGACGCTGCAGTTTGGAGGGCTTGGAAGAAGACAGAAAGATGAGGGAAAATTTGGACTATTTTAGAGACGTGTTAAATTAAAAGGGTGACCATAGAGACTTGTTACATATCTACAATTAAAGGAGTGACTGAAGGATGGACAGTGAAGGCCAGGCTTAGAAGGTCTCAGATGAAAATGAACAACTTACTGAGAACAGGAGTCAAGTTTACTTTTGTTTTGCCTTAGCAAAGAACTTTGCTGGATGGTGTCCCTGCCCTGGAGACCTCTGAAACTTTGAACTTGAGGGCTATGATTTAGGGTATATCTGGTGAAATGAAGTAGGCAGCAAAGCTCAAGAGGTGTCTTGTCTGTTTTGAACAGCCTGTGGTCTTCTGTGTGACTGAATAAATGACCTCAAGTTGAAACTTATATTTAAATGAGAAGCAGGGCTTAAAAGTTTGGAAAATTTGCAGCCTGGCCAAGTGGTCAAAAAGCAAAGCTGATTTTCAGTGGGAAAATTCAAGAAGGCTTCAGAAATTTGCATGAAATGGAGCCCAGTGCTAATAGGTAAGACAATGTTTAAAAGGCCTTGAAGCCATTTCAGAGACCTTTGCAGCAGAGCTTGCTGTCACAGGCCCCGAGTTCTAGGACCGAAGAATGCTTTCCTGGGTGATTCCCATGGTCGTGCTGCTGTGTCCGTCCTCAGGACACTGCTGCCTGTATCCCTGCAGCTCCAGCTCCAGCTCCAGCCATGGCTGAAAGATGCACAGGTACAGCTTGCATCAGTGCTTCAGGGGTGCAAGCTTCAAGCCTTGGTGGTTTCCACATAGTACTAAGCCAGCAGGTGCACAGAGCACAAAACTAGAGGCTTGGGAGCCTTTGTCTAGACACCAGAGTATGTACGGCAAAACCTTTGTGTTGAGGCAGAAGCTTTTCCAAGAGGCAGAGCCTCATGGGAAACTTTTACTAGGGCAGTACAGAAGGAACATATAGGGTTGGAGCCCCCACACCGGCATGCACCATTTTCCAGACCCTAGATTCATAGTCCCACCAACTGCTGGCACCCTCAGTGTGGAAAAGCCACAGGCACTCAACACCAGCCCAGCCCATGAGGGCACCTGTGGGGGACAGACCCTGCACAGCTACAGATGCTGAGCTGTCCAAGGCCTTGGGATCCCAGCCATCCACCCCTGTACTCCAGATGTCGGATACAGATTCAGAAAAGATGATTTGGGAGCTGTAGAATTCAATGACTGGCCTGCTGGGTTTTTGACTTGCATGGGGTCTGTAAGTCCCATCTGTGTTTTGTGCTTCTTTCTCGCAAATTTTTTCCTTTTGGCTGGGAATGCTTACCCAATGCCTGTACAATCATTGCACCTTGGAAACGGTTAACTTGCTTTGTATTTCAGAGGTTCATGAGCAGAAGGGACTGCAGCCTTGTCTCAGATGAGACTTTGGGCTTTGGACATTTCAGTAAATGCTGGAATGAGTTAAGACTTTGGGGGACTGTACATAAGGCATCACTGTATTTTGTAGTGTGACAAGGATATGAGATTGGGGGGGACCCAAGTCAGAATAATATGATTTGACTTTTTGTCCCTACCAATACTCTCATGGAATTGTGATGGTGAATGTTAAAGGTGGGGCCTGGTGGGAGGTGATTTAATCATGGAGAAGAGTGGGTGTTGGAGGTAGGGTTGTGGGGAGAATGGGGAGATTGTTTTGTGGGTGGGGGTGAAAGATGAGTGTGGGGGTTGGATTCTTCATAAATGGTTAAACACTGTCTCCTTAATGCTGTCTGCATGATAGTGAGTTCTCTTGATAATTACAGAGCTCTGAGATTGAATGAATACTGTCCTGCTGGGGTTTGGACTTGCATTTGTGTTATTTTTCTGGGGAATTCCTTCCCTTTGGATTGAGAAAACTTACCCAATGCCTATTGTACCTTGAAGGAAAAGAAATCCCTTCTAAATTCAGGGACTCATTGGAAGAAGGGATTGTAACCTTGTCTCATATGAGACTTTGAAATTTTTACATTTGGAATGAGTTAAGACTTTTGGAAACTTTTGAAAAGGCATAATTGTGTTTTGCTCTGTGAGAAGGACATGAGGTTCTGGGGTATCAGGGTCAGAATAATATGGGTTGGCTGTGTGTCCCTATAAAACTCACGTGTCATCCTTAATGTTGGAGGTGGGCCAGGTGGGAGGTGATTTAATCTTGGATGGGAGGGGGTTGGAGTGGAAGGAAAAGGAGGGGTAGTGTAGGGAGGAGTAGGTCATCAGTAGGGTGGTGGGAGGGTGGGAGTAACCTGCTGCAGAGGCAGAGGCTCATGGGAAACCTCTACTAGGACAGTGCACCTGTGGCTTTGCAGGGTGTAGCCCCCATGGCTGCTCTCATGGGCTGGGTTGGTGTCGAGTGCCTGTAGCTTTTCTGTACTGAGGGTGTGAGCTGTTGGTGGGCTTATGAACCTGGAGTCTGGAGGATGGTGGCCTCCTGTGTCGGGGCTCAAAGCCTATATTTTCCTTCTGCACTGCCATAGTGGAAGTTTCCTAAGAGGTTCTGCTTCTGCAGGAGGCTTCTGCCTGAAAACAGTGGGCGGTGGTGTGAGTGGAGAATCCTTCACCATTGGTTAGTCTTGATGCTGATGTCCTGATAGTGAGTTCTTATGTGATCTGCTTGTCTAACAGGATGTCACACCTCTTTCCTCTCTCTGTCTTGCTCCTACTCCTGCCATGTGAAACATCTCATTGCCGCTTGGCCTTCTGATATGGTCAGGAGGGGCCTGATCAGTGTGGGCCTGCTCAGTGGACCTAGTCAGTCGGGACTTGGTCAGTGAGGCCTATTTAGTGGGGGGTGGTCAGCAGGGGTCTGCTTAGAGAGGGTCTCATTAGAGGGATCTAGTAGTGCAGGTCTTGGTGAGTGGGTTCCTAGTGGCAGACAAATGTTTGGTGTCTGGTCAATGCCAACCTGGGCTGTGGGACTTGGTCAGTGGAGACCTTGTCAGCTGGGGCTTAGTTGTGGCCTTGTCTGATTGGGCTGGGTTACTGGTGACCAGGTCAAGGGGTGCTATTCAGTGGAGGCCTGGTCACATGGGACCTAGTCAGCAGAGGCGCTTGTCAGTGGGGCCCTGGTGAGGGCAGGCTGCTCAGTGGAACCTAATCAGTGGGGGCCTGGTCAGAGAGGACTTGATCAGTGGTGGCTTTTGTAGCACTGGTCTACGGGGTGACCTGGTCAGCGGGGATCTGAGCAGTGCGTGCCTGTTCAGTGTGGCATACTCATTAGAGTCCCGGTCAGGGGCATCTGGTCACCTCAGACCTGGTTAGCAGGGGCCTGGTCACTGGCAGCCTATTCCCTGGAGGCCTGGTCAGTGGGGCTTCATCTGTGGGACCAGGCAATGGGGTCATGATCGGTGGAACCTGATCAGTGAGGCCTTGTCAGTAATGACCTGGCCAGTGAGGCCTTACCAGTGAGGCCTTGTCAGTAAGGTCCTCATCAGTGGAGTCCTGGTCATTGTGGGCCTGTCAGCGGGAATCTAGTCAGTGAGGCCTCGTGATGGGGGTCTAGTCAGTGAGGGTGTGGTCAGGGAGGATCTGATATGCTGGATCTGGTCAGCAGGGACCTGTTCAGTGGGGGTGCTGAGCACTACAGGGAGATGTCAGGAGAAATGCATGTTATCGAGGGCCCTGTGGACAGCTGGGATGGCCCAGTGGTGTTCAATGGCCCAGTCAAAAGTGGACAAAGCAGGTGTTTGGATGGACCTGGGAGATCTTGCTCAGAGATTCTGACAGGACAAAGGTAAAGGAAGTACCAGAGTGGCCAGAGAGATGGTCACAGTCTATGGGCTGCACAGGATGGAGGAGGCCAGGGAATAGGCAGGGTGGGCAGCTGGGTTTCAGGGAGAGGCATGTGCATGCTGGGAGGTCAGACCCTGTGAGGGCTGTGGGGGCATCAGGTGGACTGGGCACCAGGTGCACCCTCAGTGCACTGGGCAGGTCTTGGCCCAGGCTCCCTGGACCCTGGCTGGGTGATGTGGTCATTTGCTGGGGGACTATTGTCAGGCACTGGCCACCCAACCTGGGTAGCACCGTCCCATCTCAGGACTGCACTTCCTCAGATCCTGCAGAGGGCACAGCCTCCAGCCCAGGAGGGGCAGCCCCATGGTGCAGCCTGAGCTCTCCATGGGCCTGGAGAATCCCCTGCCAGCCCTGCACTCCCTCTTCTCCCAGGTCCCGCTTTTCCAAGGTCAGCCAGTGGGGAGGCCCCATCATCCCTTCCCTATGTGTCTCCTGGGCTGAAACTTGCAGTGCACTGGGACAGGGATGAGGCTTCCCTAAGGCCTATTTAGGGAGGGGACTGGCTTCCAGCCTGGCACAGGTCCTCAGCTCTGCCTTGGTTGCCTTAGAGTGAGATGGATCACTCAGTGCCCTGAAGGTAAGGGTAGGAGACTGTCCCTGCTGTTGGGAGGCTGGTCTAGGGATGGAGGACTTAAGAGGTCTTCCCAGTCTGTCAGGCCTGGGCAGTGCTGTCCTGTCTGAGGACTCAGAAAATCCAGCCCTGGGATGGGACAGTGCTGCCCAGGGTGGGTGGCCAGGGTCTGACAGTAGTCCCCCAGGGAGTGACCACATCACCCAGCCGGGGTCCAGGAAGCCTGGCCTGAGATCTGCCCGTTGCACTGAGGGTGCACCTGGAGCCCACTCCACCTGATGCCCCCACAGCCCTCACAGGGCCTGACCTCCCAGCATGCACCTGCCTCTCCCTGCACCCCAGCTGTCCACGCTGCCTGTTCCCTCACTTTCTCCATCCTGTCCAGCAGGATAGGATGGGCAGGAGGACAGCCTGTGTGCACATTTCATGGCAAGTAGGAGTGACACACCATCCCTGGGAGGCGCCTTGGTTCCTCCCAAACCCGGCCCCAGAACTCTGTCCCTGGGGTGGTTTTACCAAACCCCAAACCCAGAACTGTGGTTGTGGCTCAGGGGTCAGTGCCGGGACACTACTGGGAGGCTGGGACCTGACCAAAGCCCATGGTGTCTGTGGCCTGAGGACAGGGTGTCTTGGGGCCATAAGGACGGCCACAAGTTGCCATTGGGTCACAGGGGCTCAGCCCCAGTGTTTGTCCTTCCCCGGCTCCTTCCCATCAGTGCCCTGGAGCCCAAGACCAAGCATCCAAGGTTCCCTCCAGGAATCCTGGTGGCTCAGCTTACTTTGTCATGTTTCATCTGGGAGCAAAAATGTCAGATCGGATGCACAGAAAAATGGCTCAACATGCTTAATGACTAGAAGAAATCTAGGAGCAGCAAGAAGGTAATGTGGAGAGGGGAGGACCTCCATGGCACCTCCATGACCGGTGTCTGCAGAGCCAGGGGTACAGGCACCCAGTGCTGTGGCCTGGCACCACCTCTCAGAGGGTGGGTAGCACACTCTCCTTACCTGGGGGACAGCAGGCCTGGTCACCAGCTTTTGTACCTGTCTCTGCAAGCATTGCATTACTGGAAGAGAATGTCATGCCAGAGCTTGGACCATGCCTTGCTCAGGGGTTAGGGGTTGTCTCTTGGTGACCTAAATGAAAAAATAGCTCCAGATCATAGTTCCACAGAGCCCAAGGCCGGAAACCTCCAGAATCCTCTGGCCCCAGATCCTCCGGCCCCAGATCCTCCCCAGGGACCCCTGTGGCCTATCTCACCAGAGCATTCTTCCATCTGTAGATTTCTTGGCTGCTCCACAAGGGAGTCCCACTTCAGATGTGGTGCTGGGCATGGTCACTCCTGCTGGATGTTTAGAAGGTGGAAAGCAAGGACCTAGGGAAATACCAGGTACACCCTTTCCACCCTCATCCAGAGCAGGACAAAGAGGCCAGGCGTTGTCAGGAGCCCAGGTCTCCAGCTGGAGGGAACGTCAACCCTGCAGTGGGAGCAGGGGCCCATTGCACATCCTAGGCAGAGATGGTAACGTAGGCACCACAGGTATGCAGGGATTGGTACCCCTCCCTGGCATCAGAAAGAAGCCAAACAAGGAGCTTTCTGCAGAATGAAACCTTCTTTCCTTTCAGAAGCACTGCTGACTGTTTGGTGGTTGCCACTGGGGCAGTGAGCCTTTGGTCCATTCTGAGGTTGGGCTGGTTTCTCCTCTTGGCCCTCCCCTACAGACCATAAAGGAAATCAGCAAGAAGTCCCCAGCAAACATCCACAGATGGCCCTGGACATCAGCCACATTCTGAGAAACATGTCATGTTCTGGGAGGGCTAAGGCATCAAGTAAGGCCTATGGGGCTGGAGGATCCCAGGCAGGTGGGGCAATCCAGAGCCATGGGGGCTTCCCATGGGAATTGGGAGGTCCCAAGGCAGATGCAGGGGTTCCACAGGAGGAGTCCCAGAGCCACCAAGCTCTATCCTTTCCCAGGGAGCAGTCAACACCATGGACTGAACTCTTAATGGGCTTCAAGCTCTGGGCCAGGCTGGGGCATGTGGGGCCATGAGGGAGCTCAGAGTGGGAGACAGAGAGACAAGTGTGCTCAGAGGGCACCCATTTCTGGGTGTAATGTGGTCTTGAGATTTTGGCTAAAAAGTGTTTCCAGGGTTTCATATGTGTTATGGAGCTGCTTCCTCTCCCCAGCCTCACCTTGCAGGAATCCCAGTGAATATATTGCCACCCTATTTGAGCTCAGTGCCCTCATAGTGTAATGGCACCAGCAGATCTGCCTGTGCATGGACTTCCTGTACTACCCATTCCTGACGGTGATGCTTCTGCAGGGCCTGTGACCTGGTGCACAACTTTAGACACCATCATCCTGGAGCAGCACTGCACCCTCACTAGCCAGGGTGTTCATGACTTCCTCAAGGCCAAGGCCACGT
The DNA here is from genome assembly GCF_000001405.40 of Homo sapiens. Lineage (NCBI taxonomy): Eukaryota > Metazoa > Chordata > Mammalia > Primates > Hominidae > Homo > Homo sapiens. The sequence goes on along the minus strand of NT_187594.1, from coordinate 44,111 downwards.
TCAAGACTTAAGACTTCAGTGATGCACTTATGCTGGGCAAGGTGGCTTCTCGGGTATCTTAATTTGGGAGGTAGAATGCAGCTTGAGATCAAATGTCTGATCAAAGAACTTGAACTTGATCTGGAGGGCTCTGGGGAGCCATGGAAGGTGCTGGATAAAGGAGGGACAGTCAGATATGTTTTAGAGATGACTGTAGAAGGCTGCCTGGAAGGAGTGAACAAGAGCCAGGAGACCCGGGAGGGAGCTTGTGGGGCAGGTCTGGAGATGGCAAGGGAGGGATTCTGCTTGGATGAAAAGTCTTCAGGGACTGTCTCAGGTTACACTCAGGTGCCCTCAGAGCTAATGTGTTCAGAGGTCTTGTCTCCAGGATGAAAATGGGAAGGAGTTGTCAGATGAGGACATATAAATGGAGGCTGACATCTTCATGAGTACCAGTGGTGGTCCCGGTGTGGGTCTCTCCATCCAGGGACATGGTGGATGGACACTACATCACTCCATTCTGCCCTTCCTTTCCCTCCTCCCATTCTCCTGAGGGCCTCAGTGCATGGGCGCTGTCCAACCTCTGGTGCTGAAGCAGCCAAGAGACCCAAGACTGCGTGGCTGCCTCTTAGGATATGACAGCACAGCCACTGGCCTCTACTGAATCCTATGCAACCTCAGAAGACACCCAGGAGTGATGCCATCATGTGGTGCAAGAGTTCTGAGGGACCGCAATCCTGAAGACATTGAATGGTGGGTACAGGGCCTCATGGCCTGTTCCCCAGCTCCTCTCATTGGCTCTGCTCCAGGTGGTGAAGGGGGATAACATTTCTGTCAATTCTGCCATGACTGCCTAGCAGCAAAAGGAACAGAGCCCAGAAGCAGGGCCTGGTATGCAGCCTGCCTAACAAGGGAGAATTTATAGGCTCTGTGGGCAGAAAGATCTGGGAGTCCATATCTACCACCCACTAGCTTGCTGAGACATTAGTAAAGTCAGTTTTCTGAACTACATTTCTGTCGTCTGTAAATTGAGAGGAATTTCTTCTACCCCACTAGGCTTCTTGGATAATTAGTGACAGTGTGTGTAGAGCAGGTGCCCCCCAGCCGGCATTTGGTGTCCAGACCACTCCTCTTCCCGCTTGATTTTCTGCCTAAATTTGCATTTTGTTCTTAAGATTTTCACTCCCCTTAATTCTGCTTTTCCCTCTGATTTCTGCCTTACTGTATATCCCATGGAGTCACCAGGATCAAAGTGGCTAACAGTCATGTATGCATGTATATGTGTGTACATACACACATTGTTGGGGTTGGAGTGTGGTGTGTGGGTATGTGTATGAGTTGGAATCACTGACTGAAACTCTCCACACCAGGCTGTGTTCCTGCTTATTGCTGGAGGCACTGTCAGGGGCCCTGTCCTCAACCCTGGGTCTGACCCTTGCAGCTCAGGCAGGACATTCTGGAGGAATCATGCCCTTGGAAGGATCCCTGAGGAGTGACTGGTGGGTATTGGTGGATAAATACCCCAGCTCCCTTGCTTTGGGTGGGATGACTCTGAGGCACATGTTCTGTGCTGTCTCTGCAGATGTACCTGGCAGGGCTGAGTCCTGGCTGACACAGGGGAAACTTTCTTGATGAAGGTCCCTTTAACTGCTGCATTCCTTTCCTGTCTCAGTTCCCCACTCCTCTACTGGTGTTTCCTGGGATTTGCATCCTAAGGAAGAACTGGCAGTCGAATTACTATCCTAGAGTTATCTCCAAATAGAATTTTTGTATTTGAATATTTGCCTCAGGATCTACTTCCAGGAAATTTATACTAAGGCACACATTTTTCTGTCAGCTCCTTCAATCCCCGTAGGCCTGCCATTGTGCTGTTTTTATCAAAAGGGAATATGAGGATCAGAGAGGGGAAGTCACTTGCCCAAAGTCACCCAGCTGAACAGTGGTGGAGTTCAACTTTGACCATGGGAAGTCTGGCCCCAAGGTGGATGCTTGTTCCTATCTCATGAGACTCCTCCCTTATCAGGGTCAAATGAATGAATGGAGGATGTTAAAAGTAGAGTGTCTGATGCTTCTGCCAGAGAAACCCCAGGCTCATGGCTGGAACCTGTGTTCTCACTCTTACCTCATTAAGAGTATAATGAAAAACATGCTCAGTGCTGACCGTGTGCCTGGGGGTGTTGTAGGCACTCTGCTTACTTTAATTCATTTAATTTTTACAATAACCTTGTTTTTGCTTCTAGTTGTTAGATTAAAAAACTGTGGCAAAGAGCAATACAGAGAGTTGCCAAAATTCACACCGCTGGTCCAGGTTTGAAGCAAGCAGTCTGTACCTGCAGTCCTTGTCTGTAACCATGGCACCCTGGCTTCTCACACCTCTCATCGTGGAGTTCCACCATGTGTCAGGCATGGCACTGAGCACCTTCTTTTAAGAATATAATTTGTAATTATGTAGATTATTAATTCTACTTCAAAATGCCACACAGCCTTCATGTGATAAAATGAAACAATTGGTGAGTCTAAGCATTGAGAAAAAACGTTCTTTTTTCCACTCCCTACTCCATTCCAACAGTTGGGACAGTGTTTTCTCTGTGCCTGTAGAAACCTCAGCTCCTGTGCTGAGGAACCTGTTCCCTTTGGGGAATGTGGCAGTCAGGTACTGGCAGGGACCTCGAAGTGGCTGAAGGGTCATTAAGAAAAAGCTGTTTACAAAGGTGTGGGCAGGGCCAAGGGGAACCAGGGGGGATGGCGCAGGGCCCTGGGGTTAGCGTCATCTGGGAGCTGTCACCACCCTCCAGGCTGGTGGGGCCATGAAGAAGCTGTTCCAGTAACTCGGAGAATCTGCAGCTGAAAGAGGAGGCCAGAGGAGACATCACTCACTGTGCCCTTTGACTGCCTCTGGATGCCCCCACTGACCACACTACCATTCCCTTATTAGACTGGAGAGGCTGCAGGGAGGGGTTCTAAGCCTCCTATAGTGACTCACCTCCAACAATGAGTCAGCACCATCCCTCCTAGCCCCACAGCACAGGGTCCACTTAGCCCTTGTATCCTGCGTGGTCCCCTTTCCTGCTGGGAAACAGATATCCAAATGAGCAGCAGAATCCTGTCTCTCCCTTCAGGCTCCTCTGCTCCTTATGAGTGGTGTTTTCCCTTGGTTTTGGATGAGAAACACCCTTTCCCCTTCCACAGGGATTGTTTCTGTGGACCCCACCCTGAGTTTTCCCCTGGTTAGGCAATGGGCAGGTGGGGGTGGTGGGACCAACTCTTTAGAACCAGCAATGACAAACAGATCCCACTTGGGGGGAGTTGATGTTAAGTGTCATGGGTCCTCTGGAATTTTCTGAAGCTTTCCTGTTTTTTTTTTTCTCCCCCTAACCAGCTCAACTGATCTGGGATCTCTACTAAGATGTTGGCAGCCCAGCCAGCTGGTCTGGCCCTGGACGTGCCTTCATGGTCTGGTTATGCTTCATGACCTGCACTGTGGTCAGTGGTAAGCAGCACCTGCTTCTAGCTTTACTGTTGGGTCAGATTTTATCTGCACTCCAGCTCTGCAGTGCGGCTGCTTCTTGATTCATCCATGGACCCTTCACGAAATTGCCCCATGTTTCTGTTTGTGCATCACTGAAGAAGGAAGCACGAAGGACGCACAGGTCAGGCCATTCCATTGCCCTCCTGGTGCTGGGTTTGCCCTCCCAATCCTGGGGTTGCTTCAGGGGCTGGTCGTTCTCCATAGCCCCCTCCACATTTCTCAGGTTTCTGCTCAAAAGTCACCTTTCGGAGGGGTCTCCACCTGTCACTGTGTTTGTAAGAGCTCCTTCGGTTTCTTTCTAGCTCATCTCACTCTGGTAATGTCTTTGATTATCACCACCATCTGACCTGGTCTTATGACCTGTTAGCTTCCTTCGTCAGACGTGAGCACCAGGATGGCAGGGGCCTCATCTGTCCTGTTCCTCCTGTGGCCTGGGTCGTAGCACCATGTCTGGTACAGTGTAGATGCTCAAGGGAAGTTTACTTTGTAGAACTGTTTACCTGGGAGATGTTACTGTTAGTCTAACCTGTACCATTTTGTAAACCTCCAGCCATTTTGCAGACTCTGATCACAGTGAAACGTTCCATGGGAACTTGGGCCATGAGAAACATCCTTCCTAACCACGTGACTGCAGAAACATCCTTATCGCATCTTCCTGGGCAAAGGCCCAACAGCCTGACTGCAGGGACATCCTTGCCATATCCTGCTGGGCAGCAAGCTCTACCACCCAGATCCCTCCCTCCCAGTCCCATGATTACCCCAGCCTGTGAGCGGCAATTGGTGCTGGCACTAAGCTGGTTTCCTCCTCCCCAGGGTTTTGCTGGCAATAAAGATGTTGCTGTTGAAGCCACCAACTATCTCTTTCTGTCTTTCTTTAACCCTCGCCTTGCCTTCCAAACCTAACAATAACTCTACCTCTCCATTTTACCAATGAGGATATGGGACTCAAGGAGAGCAAGAGACTTACCCAGTGAGTCACAGAGCCTGAACTTGAACTCAGTTCAGCTGAATCCAGAACTTATTTCTCCCTGAGAGTCCAGGGAAGGAAAGGTGGAACTGCAGCCAGTAGGTGCCCACATGCTTGTCCTAGAAGACCCCAGGTGGGCTCCTGGGAATTGCATCTTCATGCACACAAAAGAAGAACTGCTCACTGGTGTCATGTCAGCTAAGGGTCCCCATTGTCCCAAATTGTTACTTCTCTTCAAAGTTTTGTTTTAATAATTACAGTTCTCACAGCTCAGTGTTGAATACAGAGCACAGAGGCATGTAGAAAGTCGTGTGTGGGTTTTTCTCAATTATTTTCCCAGTGACTACATCAATGAGTGTACAAAAGAACACAAATATGCTCATACTTTTTATATAGAGATGAGGCCCTCCCTCCCATATTTCTCTGCCACTATTCTTCCATTTTTTTTTCATGTGAGGACCACTCTTTCAATACTAGTCCATGTGATTGGGGAGAGGCTGGCCACCCTGGGCAATCCGCAGGGTAATTAACTCAGGGATGGGCATGTGATCCAAGCTGGGCTGATGGAAGTCATCCCTGCACTTTTGATGAAACTGCTGGGAATGGGGTGCTTTCTTTTTATTGGCATAGCTATTTGCAAGGAAGTAAATGATGTGGAATTTATGGGGCCATTTTTGCTGTTCTCTCAAAATAGCTTGCATGAAAAGCAGAGCTGACACAGGAAATGAAGGGACAGAATGAGTCTTGGCTGATATTAGTTCACCCCTGATCTCACTGAGCCAGAAGCCCATATACTTAAGGATATTTTTAGTAATTAGAGTCAAGTAATTCAATGTTCTCCTGGATCGAGTAGGTTTCAGTCACTTGCAGTTAAGAGATTCCTGCGTAATAGCAATTTCTCTTATGGTTAGGTCCCACCTGCCAGAGCTTTAGAGCTGTAGAAGGTATAAAGTAAACCCAGGCAGTGCTGAGCTAGCCAGGCTCCTGGATAAGTGTGCAAAGGAACCCTGGAATCACTACCACTTTGGTCTGACAAGTAGCCTTGCCTGCTGCTTACCATACAGCCATAGGGGTACTGTTTCCCTGAGCCCTTAGGCATTATACCACTTTTTAAAAATGATTTTTATCTAAGAAAATGTTTTGTAGAGATGGTGTCTTGCTATGTTGCCCAGGCTTGTCTTGAACTCCTGGCCTAAAGTGCTGAGATTACAAGCATGAGCCACTGTGCTTAGCCAGCACTATACTTCTATTAGTTGTCAATGTTTTCTTTGTTCTGTAGTTTCTAGCGTGTGCTTGAGCATGTGTGTGTGTGTGAGTGTGTGTGTGTGAGTGTGTATGAGTTTTTAGTTTGATCTTGTAGGGTTATTTCAAGCATCAAGTGGGGTCCTTTAGTCACAGCACTCAGCCCAGTGACTGGCACATATGGTAAGCTCTCTCTGTTCTCCTCTTTTCTCCTCCTGATTCAGAGAATGACTTAAGGATCTGTGATGTGTGCCAATTTTCAATGCCCTGGATACATAATGGGGAGATGAAGTACTGTTGCCAGAAATTTGCACTAGTTTTAATTCATTTTATCTGTTTAGCAATGAGATATCTCAAAGTAACTGAATAAATTTATTTCATATATATATACATACACATAAGTATGTTTCTTGAGAGCCGACAGGCTTAGTTTTTGTTCGCTGATGGTGCAGTAGAGGCCACTGTGTTCTGATTTCTTGAGTGATGGCTGCCAGCTCTCCAAGTGTCACAGTTGGTGAGGCATCCACGGGGGTGAGCACCAAGGATGTGTGGCCAGTCAGCATCTGCAAGCCCATTTTGTCTATTCTCTTTATTTTTATAATATGTTTTATTCATTTTTAGGTTTATCATTTAATTTATTATAAGTATCTCTCCTAAAATTGTTTCTTAGTTCTGCTAAGGGTTAGTTTTATGAAACAAGTCCAGAAATAGTCCAGGGCAGCCATGGATACCCAGCATGCCACTGGGGAGTGAGAAATCTTGTATATTGAAGATTGTGTTGTTGGGACCATCATTCCAATGGTCTTCAAGGTGCTAAACTGGACTCAGGGCATTTCATCCTATTTCCAGAGAGCAGCAAGCAGCGAGAGCAAAGGGAACATGATTAAGGGAAAAGAGGAACAATAACTCTTCCCTTTCCAAACAGATTTTCAGAAATCCAAACCAGTGAATTCTGCATTTCACATTGACCAAGACTATAAGCTCTGCTCACTGCAGTTATGAGAAAAACTGGGAAACTCATTTAAAGACATTAATCAGGGCCAGGCATGGTGGCTCATGCCTGTAATTCTGGCAATTTGGGAGGCCAAGGTGGGAGAATCACCTGAGCACAGGAACTTGAAACCAGTCCTGGCAGCATAACGAAACCCAGTCTCTACAAAAACAAAACAAAACAAAATCTGGGTGTGGTGGTGCACACCTGTTATGCCTGCAGTTCTACCTACTCAGGAGTCTGAGCTGGGAGGTCACAGGAACCCAGGAGGCTGCAGTGAGCTATGCTCATGCCACTGCACTCCAGCCTGGGAGACAGCATTTTTCAAAAACAAATTATAAATTAAATAATAAAATAAGGATAAATAAATAAAGACATATAAACTGTGCTCCTTGTAAAAGATAAATCTATGCTCCCTTAGTGAAGAAGATGAGAATAATGGATATAGCAGGGAAATGGACAGAATTGGCCACATTAGACCATAATGAAAGTCATAATAGGCACCCCAAATCGGTACCAGTAAAGCCACATAATGTGACCATAATGCAGGCAAATTGTGACCAATTAAAACAAACTGACAAAAAAAGGGTATCCTGGAGCATACGAATTCTAAATCTAAATTGAATGGATCTCAAAGAGGGCTTCACATTGAAAATAAAACCATGGGTATGTAAGTGAATTGTAACAAAGCTACTACATAGCAACATTAAGGTGGCAGAGCAGAAAGGGGGCTAAGACAGATATCTGTCATTTTATACCATTTTTTAAGAAAAGAAAAACTATAAAATTATGAATTTGGGTTCTAATTGAGAGATAAGACAACGATAATTGCAACAACTGTTAACATTTACAGTGCTTCAGTCCTGCTATGTGCTCATTCATGCCCAATAAGTGAAGAGCTGGAACTGAAAGCTTTATTATATTTATTCCCATTGTAGTCTCCCTCCAGAGTGCGGAATCATGTGTAACAGGAGGGTTAAGTGTTTAAAGAGGTCTTTTCTACATTTTTTACTTCCATAAGCAGTCTCTGCAGTGTGCGTTCTTGTATGAACTATGAGTCTGAGGCAACACTGAGGCTTTTTTCATGTTCCTTACTTTCATAGCTTCTCTCCAGTGTGAGAACAAATAGCTACTCAAGATGAATGAAGATGAATGAAAGGCTTTCCATAGAGTTTACCTTCACAGGGTTTCTTTTCACACTTCCGTAAGATATGAGAGTTCAGGAAAGATGTTCTCATGCATGTTAACTCATTGAGCTCCCTTCCAGTGTGTCCTCCTCACATGTTCAGTATGGTGAAAAATTAATGATGATTTTCCACCTTTCACTCACAGGGCTTCTCACTATTGTATCTCTTAAGGTGGCTTTTAATTCTGATGTCTTTGCAAAGTCTTTTCCACATTTGTCACATTTATAGGGTTTCTTTCCAGCATGACTCCTTATATGTGCATGTTTTGAGGCTTGCTGAAGGTTTTCCCACATTCCTTACATTCATAGGGCTTGTCCAGAATGTTCTTTCTTAAATGTTTATTAAGGTGTAGGGAATATCTAAAGCCTTTGCCACTTTTGACATATTCATAAGATTTCTTTCTAGTGTGAATTTTCATATGTCTTACAAGAAATGACTGATAAGTAAAGGCTTTCCCACATTTGGGACATGTATGGCTTTTCTCTCCAGTAGTACTACTGCTGTGTGAACCAGAATTTGGAGGAGGGGCAGCGGTTTTTCCACTTTGATGATTCTTATTCTTTGTCTCTACAGTACAGGACTGCATCTGCACAGCATGGACTGAGTTATTTCTGAAGACATTTTCATATCGAATAAAGTTATACATTTTCTCCCTAACATGAGTTATGTGGGCCCTAAGGCATACATCTTCACTGCAGGCTATTCCAAATGGACTCCACTCATGCATGTTTGCAGTTGTATTAATTTTACTATGTATATGATGGACATTGTTCTGACTGTCTATCCATGTGTTTGATTTTAGCTGTTTTTCTCCCATATGAAACCCAGTGAGTGTTGCACCTCAAGACTATCATATTCATTGTTTCCATACATATCACTTTATTTCAATAGTTTTTGGGAAACAAGTGGTTTCTGGTTACATGGAAAAGTTATTTGGTGGTGATTTTCTGAGATTTTGGTGTATGCACTACTCGAGTCGTGTACACTGTACCCAACGTGTAGTCTTTCATCCCTCATCCCCCAACCTTCCCTCCGAGTCCCCAGAGTCCCTTATATCATTCTTATGTCTTTACACCCTCATAGCTTATCTCCCACTTATAAGTGAGAGCATACAATATTTGTTTTTTTATTCCTGAGTTACTTCACTTAGAATAATCATCTCTAACTCCATCCAGATTGCTGCAAATGCCATTATTTCATTCCTTTTTAGGGCTGAGCAGTATTCCATGGTGTATCTATAACACATTTTCTTTGTCCACTCATTGGCTGATAGACATTTAACCTGGTTCCACATTTTTGCAACTGCAAATTGTGCTGCTATAAATGTGTGTACAAATGTCTTTTTCATATGACTTATTTTCCTCTAGGTAGATACCCAGGAGTGGGCCAACACAAATTTAAATAGAGATAATTATAAAATAAAGTAATCACCAAGTGAAAATTACTATTTCTAGTAGTAAAACAAAATACATTTATTGAGTAAATTTGAACATATTTCTGCTCACATAAAGAATAAGTAACTTCTGTATTTTGTATAAATGATATGCTTTATCTCACTAGACTTATCCTGTGGTTAATTTGTGGAGGAGGGCAGGAGAAAATAACATATCTTTAAATTTAGCTTCTTGATTCACATTTTTCTTCAAGTTTCAATAGCTCTATTTTAGGAAAATGCCTCCAAGAAGATATTCAGATGCTTTGGGCTTTCTGTGGCCTCAAGGCAAAGTGAAAGTGAGTCTCAAGCCTCTTATTGTCTTCATGCTGTTCTCTGGATCTCTGCTTTCTCTGTGGCAGAGGATCTCTCTGGTCTGATCGCTGAGGCCATTGCATTGCTTTTCTCTGAGATGAAGCTTGTACTCTTGAATCAGAGTACAGTGGAATTCCCTGCCTCCTGTTGGCTTGGATAAGATCTTCAGATCTCTCTGAGTTTCAGCATCCTTCTTCTTCCACAGTGTGGCTGGCATTGTCACATGTGGCCTTTTTGGCCGGCTCATTTTGCCCCTTGGTGCAGTGGCCCCATGTTGTGTATGTTAGTTTTCAACTCAGTTAAGTTGCTTCCTATTTACCTCTATGACACTTCCACATTGCATAGATTCATAGGTCTAGCAAGAGGTTTTTTTATATAAACCAAGCTGCCAGAAACAGAAGAATGCTCACACAGTAAGTCAGATAAACCAAATTTATTACTCACAGAGGAGCAGGAAGAATCAGCAAAAGCCTAAGTTCTATGGCAAGCCTGACCCTTGAGGTCAGAAAAGTTGCCCAGGGTTGATGGAGTCTCCTCTGCACATGCTCCACTGTGTACTGCAGCTGAGGAACCCCTGAGTGCTCCGCCCTAGGTTTCACACCCCATGTGCTACTTGGCTCTCTGAGTTTAAGAGTTGCAGGAATATCCTGTTCTAGGAACAACAAGGGCAGAGCCCAGACATTCCCAGACAATTTCTCCTTATCTCAGGATATTGTCTTCTCGGAACATTCTAAAATTATTCTGAGAACCAGGAGGTACAGAAAGCTGAGTTTGTCAAGGCCATTCAGGTCTTGTCCTCCTGACCACATAAACAAAGTAGGCTATAAAACAATAAGCATTAGCAGAAATAATCATATTGCATTATCATAGCCATTCTTTATTATGATAAAAAATTTATCCACCAAAAAGTTTTCTGAATTCTAAATCTGAATGAACCCAATAAAACAGAGATTTGGGCCTGTTGTTACAATTTAATAAAGGATTTACTAAACCAAAAAATTTACTTAAATACATAAACTCTGGAAGGAGTATAAAAATCATAAAGATTCATTTCAATAAAGGCTGGTATGCAAGGTTATCAGACATGTGACAGAGTAGTAGAAAGTGTTGACAATGCTTAGGGCACAGTGAATATGATTGATTTTCAAATGAACAAAGAAGATAGTCAACTCAACAGAAAGATGGGCCAAAAAATTCCAATACATTATTAACAACATGACAGATGCAAATGTGCACAATAAAATGAGATCTGTATTTTCACCACTCGCTTAGAAAATATAAGAATCCTAGATAACGTTGTGTGATGAGGATATGAGGATAACAACCTTTATGGGCAATGGATGGGAAATTCAATGGTTTTAAACATTTCAGAAAATAACATGACAGGACCCCTTTGAAAGTATGCATACTCTACAACCTGTCTCAATGACGGTCACATATACCTGATATAGTTTGTATGTGTGTCCCCTCCAAATCTCATGCTGAAATGTGATCCCCCATGTTCTGGAGGTGGGGCCCAGTGAGAGGTATTGGATCGTGGGGTGGATCCCTTATGAATAGTTTAGCACAGGAATGTCCAACCTTTTGGCTTCCCTGGACCACATTGGAAGAATAATTTTCTTGGGCCACACATAAAATACACTAAAAATAGCTGCTGAGCTAAACACACACACACACACGCGCACACACACACACACACACACACACACACACACACACACGGAATCTCTTATGTTTTAACAAAGTTGACAAATTTGTTTTGGGCCACATTCGAAGCTGTTTGACCTGCATTCAGCCTGCAAGCTGCAGGTTAGACAAGCTTGGTTTAGAACCATCCCCTTGTGAGTGACTTCTTCTCAGTGAGGTCATGAGAGATCTGATTGTTAAAAACAGCCTGGGACTGCCCCCTTCTCTCTCTTACTCCCTCTCTGACCATGTGACACACTGGCTCCCCTTCACCTTCTGCCATGATTGTAAGCTTCTTGAGGCCTCACCCAGAGCAGATGCCATTGCTTCCTGTGCAGCCTGCAGAACCCTGAACCAAGATAAACCTCCTTTTTTAAAAAATAAATAAATAAATTACCCAGCATCGCGTGTGTCTTCATAGCAATAGTAACAGACTAATGTAGACCCTGACAAATTGTGACACGTGACCAAAAAGTGTTTTCATAAGAATACCACAAGGAAGTGAATATTTCAGTAGCAGGATATCAGTGTGAATTCTACTGCAAGACTGGATAGGGAAAATGCGGTTGATTCATTTTGTCCAAAACTATGCAGCAGCTACAGGGGAATAAACAACCAAAAATAACCTACAGCAGTGTGAGAATATATGGAGGATGTGATGCTCTGTGAAAAAAATAGAAATAAAATTAGATTTATAGCATGATACTCTTTAAGAAAAACGTATACACTTTTGTATATACACATACACACACTCAGAAAACAACCTTCTTATCTTGTAAGAATTCTTTAAGAGTAAATAACTTATATCAAACACATTAGCATGCCTGTCTGTGACAAGGGATAAAGAATAAAAAAATTGAATAAGTAAAACCAGAAAGAAACTTTTAGGAAACAATAATAATAATGTCTCATGAAGTAAAGAATATGATTAATTTTCTGCAATTGTGGTATAAAAACAGAAATTGTCAAAATCACATGTAATGAGCTTTAGCATAGAGCTTATTGTAGGGCAAAAATCAAATTTTAAAGACTTAGTTTGCATAGTTGGATGGAGGAATGGTCTCCTATGTGAAGTAGTAAGATACACGAAACCATCCCATGGGTGTATGGGAAGAAAATACTCACTCAAAATGCTACTTATATTTATTGTTTACTCATTTTTCCAACAGTTTAGTATCTAAATGCTAGGGGAGGCCAGATGTGGTGACTCACACCTGTAACAGCAGTGCTTGAGGGTGGGGGGCAAGGCAGGAAGAACACTTGAGGCCAAGAGTTCTAGGCCAGCCTGGGCAACGTAGTGGGTTTTTGTGTCCACACACAAAAAATAAAAATTAGCCAGGCATGATGCTGTGCACCTGTAGTTCTATCTACTGGAGAGGCTGAGGCAGGAGGATCACCTGAGGGAGGAGTTTGAGGCTGCAGTGAGCCATGATCAGTCTACTGCACCATAGCCTGGGTGACAGAATGAGACCCTGTCTCTTAAGTGAAAATAAGTAAGAGCTAGGAGACTACATGATCTTTCTAGTTTTCAGCCCTTATTGCAGTTCCCTGTAGATTATTTTGCTTATTCCCAATGTTCCAGGTGTTTCTACATTGTAGGCTAGTCCTTCTACCTACTCAAGGCCCCACATCCAGCAAATGTCCTCAGAGATGGGCTCTGCTGCTAATCTGTGATCACCTAGGAAAGGCTTATTTTTCTCTGAAATTTAGTTCATTGTAACTTTAGGCCCATAGTGTTTTGATGGCTTTAAACAAAAATAAAAATGTTTAAGTTCATCCGATGTCTTCTCAGTATGGCAGGAGCAATTGCTAGAGCCAGGCTTTTCCAATGATACTTAACTGTCAAATAATTCTATTCAATTTTTCATGGGACTTAGGGTTTGGTCCATGAAGTGTTGCCATGGTATGCAAATCAATTATGTCAATAAGCATGCTAGTTCATTCAGCAAATATATTCTTGTAGCAATAGTTACTCAATGAAAGAACTAATATATTTAATTTCTAGTAGAAGCTACTTCTGTCATTGTGAACTGGTTACAAACCTTGAATGCTCTAGCTATTTTGAGGAGCATTAATAGGCATTACCCAAAGAAGATGATATATTCCCTAGACAGCAAGAACTTTTATTCCTGTTTATCTTCTTTTTGATAAACTCTACAGTCTCTTCATAGTAAATCCAGATTCTGTGGGATGTACAAAACAATCCCCCATACATTTAAATTTATGCCTATGATCATGTGTAATGAAATTAGCCCTCAAGAGCCAACTTGAGACCATGTTCAGAATGGAAGCTTCAGAAACCTATGGCACATGAATATAAGACCATTTTAGACACAGTCCCCAAATTACCTCTGAATTCAGTCGGAAAAAAGTGACAAGGAACAATTTTTAGGGCATCTAGGATAGTGCTACCTTCTCATGCCTAACATAAGCAAATTAAAACCTCATACTAATGCTCTGAAGCCTAATAATAACTAGTAAGGTTCATGTCTGTCAAAAAGCCACTGCAGGCTACTGTTAAAACCAGCTACACAACCATCTGAAAGCCATTTGCCTCCCTCTAGTTAAAAACAGTCCCATGTCTACTGATGATGTAGTTAAGGCTGTATCAAGATCTATCTCTCAGCAGGGACCTGTTCCCCAAATGCTAATGTTTGACCAACAGAAGTTTTGCAACCAGAGCTTGTGCAAGTATTGGTAGATAGAAAATACAAAATCAAACCGTTTCTCATGAATGATTAAACAATTAAAAAAATGAATGCAAGAAGCTTGTGTGCATGTGCATGGGTGTATGCATGTGTGTGTATATTCAGCTTTGTTAAATTTATTTAACTTTATTAACTTTGTTTAAAATTTAATTTGAAAATTAGATTGGGGAGCAAAATATCATTCTTTCTCTCTCATCATAAAACTTTTGGCTCATGGGATTCTGACATTCTGTCATGCTTGGAAAAGTTGGATTTATGAAACCAGTAGCTGGACTGAGCCTGCCTATGCAGCTCTTACACAAGTGCTTCCTATTTTGTGCACAAGCAGCCTCAAGAGCCCAAAGATAGTGATTGAGAGAGACAGGCTCTGAAGCCTTTTTAATTCAACTTCTTGGAATCACCACCTTGCTAATAAACATCAAAATCTTCTGTGTCATTTATCAGATTAATTACTTTTTCCATAAAAAGAGTGAGTTGAGAAAATAACAAGCAAGAAACTCCCTGTCCCTTCTTCATCCTGAAAACAGGAGAATCAATATTACTTAACCCTGTTTTTGAGAGATGAATGGGTAGGTCAATATTGCTTGGCTATTTGTCCTTCCACTTGGGAGAGATTACTGCTGCATTTTCCCCTCAATCTCTAGAATCATGGCTTATAGAAAACAATTATGTACTGAATTACAAATTGCATCAAAACTTTATTAGACTTCTTATCAAAGAGCATGCTCAGATTTATTATTAATAGTAATAAAAATATAAAAATTTAAAAACAATATTATAAGTAACAGAGAAAAGCTATGCACTGCTATGAAAGCCTTTCATATTTAGGGATATCAGGTAAGGCTTCCCTTGGTGGGGAAGATGAAGAGCAAACTAAAATAAAAGTAAGAGCTAATTATACAAATCTGGGATGGTAGTGGGAAAAGCATATGAATAAGAAGACCAAAGTCCAGAAGGCAAGAAAAAATATATCTGAATATATCTGAAGAGTTGTCATACTTGTGATTCCCAGCTTCGTGTCGTAGATGTGCCACCGGGTCCTGGGAGCCGCCATGCCCACCTGGCTGGCGCACTTGCTTGTACCCATCTGGAGGCTGATGGTCGAGTGGTCCATGGGGGGCAGGATGTTGTTCTTGGGATCGTAGAGATGCCTCCTCGTGCTCTGCCGTACACAGTCGTGCCTGACTGGCTGGCGCGTTTGTTGGTAATCTGCAGCCCGATGACGCACTGGCCAGCCTTCATGGTGGCGTCGTCGAAGTTCCCCTCCTGCTTCTCTGAGTACTCCTCACGGATGTCCACCTCGCTCTGCAGCCCCTTAGTCTTGGCCTTCCCTGCCAGGGCGAGAAGAGACACCTGCACCTGCCTCACGTTCCCACTCTAAAACAGGTCGTTAGTCTCAAATAGGTCCACGGGGTTCATGCTGTAGCTGACCATGGACTTGAGGAGGTTGGAGAGGGTTTCTAGCTGGTACCAGTTCTGCTGAAGCGGTTGATTTTGGGGACTGAGCCCGGCTGCAGTTTGTTCATGAGTGTGCATAAGATAATCCCGTCCTTCAGGCCCTTCTGGAAGTCGGGACTCACTGGGCCGATGGAGAGGCCGGTGAGTCCCTAGATCCAGCTGCGGAGCTCTACCTCCTTCTGCGAGTCATATATGGACAGGAGCCGGTTCTGGACGTCCGCCAAGAGCCTGTAGGAGGGGCCCTTGTTGAACTGCGTGGAGCTTACAGCTGGCTGGCCCCGCGGCGGGACGGGACCACACGGGACCGGGGACTGTCTTTTTTCTAGTTTGCAAGATTTTGTTTTCACCACACCATTGTTTTTACTACATATCTTTTGTGTATTTAAAAAATGTGTGAAAAATGTTAGACCATCCCCCTTTTTTCCACCTTCCCTTTACCCTTTACTGTGATTTACATCCACACATCCACACACACACACATCCACACACACACATGCACACACACATACTGAGCGAAATTAATTTAGATGTACGAATGGGTTATTTGAAGCAAAAAGTCAACCTATATTAGTAAAAGTGTCATGCCAGTGGGAATTACATTTATAATCCTTTTAAGAAGAAAGAACTTCCGGCCGGGCGCGGCGGCTCACGCCTATAATCCCAGCACTTTTGAAGGCGGAGGTGGGCTGATCACGAGGTCAGGAGCTCAAGACCAGCCTGGCCAAGGTGGTGAAACTTCGTCTCTACTAAAATTACAAAAAAATTAGCTGGGCTTGGTGGCATGCGCCTGTAATCCCAGCTATTCAGGAGGCTGAAGCAGAGAATTCCTTAAACCCGGGAGGCTGAGGTTGCAGTGAGCCGAGATCGCGCCACTGCACTACAGCCTGGGCGACAGAGCGAGACTCCATCTCAAAAATAAAATAAAATGTTGAATTTTTACAAGTCATTGTTCCTATTCTAATTTTTGAATGCAACCACAGCCTCTAACAAAACAGCCTCCTTAAACTAATTCGCTGATAATGAATTCTTAAGTAAAAGGGGGAGTTCCACAGAAATATATATGGCTCTTTTATATTTAATAAAAGAGCCTGAAAAACAGATGTGTTCTGTAAAATTGAATTACTTTCTATCCAGTTCCACTGGTTCGCAGTTGTTTTATCTTTATATTAAAATATACATAAATGATTGATTGATGAATTTTTTTCTTTTAGACACTGCTGCTGAATCCATGGAGAGAAAAAGGATAAATTTCCAGAACTATGGTCCCTGTGCTCCAGTTCACCAGGCGGGCGCGGCGGAGACGGAGACCAAGGAACACGGCTGGGGCGATGCGGCGCTACCCGCACGTGGTGGCGCTGTGTCTGGCCTGCGGCTTCTGCTCGCTCCTTTACGCCTTCAGCCAGCTCCCCATGTCCCTGGAGGAAGCAGCAGGCGGTGGTGGCGGGAAGCAGCAGGCCTCAGTGGCTTCCTGGCTGGCAGGAGGCGGATGCGGTGCCGTGAGAGGCGCGGGCAGCGCTGGTCCCGCTGTGCATCCTGGTGGGTGGGACAGGTGTCGTCTGAAAATACAGCCTGTTGAGAAAATGCATCTAGCTGTAGTTGCCTGTGGTGAAAGACTGGAAGAAACTATGACCATGTTGAAGTCAGCTATCATTTTCAGGATCAAAGCTCTTCAATGCCAGGTTTTTGCTGAAGATCAGCTACATCATAGCTGTAAAGGAAGACGTGACAGGGGTCATTTCTGCAAATATTTAATTATACAATATACCCCATAACCTTTCCAAGTGAGAATGCATCAGCATGGAAAAACTCTTTAAACCATGTGGTCCACAGAGATTGTTCTTGCCGTTATTCCTGAAAGAAGTTGACTCCCACACTAATAGCCTTTTTTACGACCAGTTGATCATATTTGTTCTTTACTAAAGAAATTTAATTCCACATAAATTGCTCCAGTGGCCTCAGAACACAAGGAACCTCAAATAAGATGGTATAGTCGCTTTGCTAGGCAACCATACTGTGGAAAAACTGGAGTAAACCCTGGAGTTATGTTGACGAATATGACTCAAATGAGAAGGAAGTATTTCAAGAATGATATGACAAACTGTGTGACTACAATGAGGAGATATACTTATGACATGGCTTAAAGAATACAAACTAAACATTACATGGACAATCAAGATTTACATGGGCAATCAAGATTTGTTGGATATCATGTTTTTTCATAATCCAGAAAGTCTTTTTGCCTTTCCGTGTCAATGGAATTATCATCCAGATCATTGTCTATATGGAAGCAGTTGCCAAGAAGCAGAAGAAGGAATCTTGATTCTTCAGGGAACAGAGGTGTTTACCATGATGATAAGCAACCAGCATTTAGAGTTGTTTATGAAGCACTGAGAAATTGTTCTTTTAAGATGACAACATTCATTCCCTAATAAAACCTTTAGAACTGGAACTACAAAAAGCAGTGCATACATACCGTGGAAAAATTTACAAAATATTTGTCAAACAACTAACAAAAAGCATAAGAGATCATTATGCTGGATCACCAAAGGAAAGGTGATTCTTGGTGCCTGCTACATCAAATGGATGAAAACAACAAAGCATTGGAGGATAAGTGTGAAGGAATCATCTTGGGTGAAGCATTAATGAAGGAATTATTCATCTCCAGAATATTTTTTTCCCAAAGAGGTTAAATGAGCAGTATTTTCAGGTAATGAAGAATAAATTAAAATCTTGGGCTCCAACAAAGAAACATTTTTGGCCTCTGATGTTTTGTAATGTTACTTACTACCATTCCAGTATTGGTGAAAATATTATTGAATGGTTTTAGCCCGCAAACTTCTGCTGACTCATACTCTCAAGTAAGAGTGCTGGGGCTGTGCAGATGAAGAAAATGTATCTCAAGCACAGTGCAAACTTTAACTTTCTTAAAGTCAGCACTGACCTCGCTTTAAATGTGTGAAAAAAAAGTCTGTTTACAGGAGAAGAAACAGTTCTGTTTCTAAAGAAATGTAACGGATGTAACCATGGATGATCTATGTCTGCCTTTATACATTTCATCTCTGTTTTAAAATATTTTATCACAATCATGTTTAAAATTGTTTTTAGATTATAAGTAAGCTGCATGTTAAAAATTGAGCTGTATAAGAAAGAGGAAATACAGTGAAAACTTTGGGGTTTTAATCTGTGCATGTGTGAGAGAGAGTGACAAATGTAGTGTTTTCATTGTGTATGCATTAAACTGTCTTGCCAAAACTCAGATCTAAGATTGTTAAGTAGATATTTGGGGAATTTTTTTATCACTTTAAATGAAAAATTTCAGCTTTACTGGGCATTCTGGAAGCAAAATATATTATGCTGATGATAAAGTGAGAACCTTAAGAGTATACTCATTTGATGGTGGAAAATGTGATGGACCAAAATTCAGAAGCTATACACATCCTGTGAGTAGTAATTTTAGTTACGATGGAGTAGAAAAATGTGGTGCATTTAAACTTTTCTTCTACCTCATAATGGCTTTGCAAGATACTTGTAAAGAAGCAAATGTCTAGAGCCTTACTTTAAGACAGTTAATGAACTCAAACAAATTTACAAGAAAAAAACAAACAACCCCATCAAAAAGTGGGCAAAGGATATGAACAGACACGTCTTAAAAGAAGACATTTATGCAGCCAAAAAACACATGAAAAAATGCTCACCATCACTGGCCATCAGAGAAATGCAAATCAAAACCACAATGAGATACCATCTCACACCAGTTAGAATGGCAATCATTAAAAAGTCAGGAAACAACAGGTGCTGGAGAGGATGTGGAGAAATAGGAACACTTTTACACTGTTGGTAGGACTGTAAACTAGTTCAACCATTGTGGAAGTCAGTGTGGCGATTCCTCAGGGATCTAGAACTAGAAATACCATTTGACACAGCCATCCCATTACTGGGTATATACCCAAAGGACTATAAATCATGCTGCTATAAAGACACATGCACACGTATGTTTATTGCGGCACTATTCACAATAGCAAAGACTTGGAACCAACCCAAATGTCCAACAATGATAGACTGGATTAAGAAAATGTGGCACAAATACACCATGGAATACTATGCAGCCATAAAAAATGATGAGTTCATGTCCTTTGTAGGGACATGGATGAAATTGGAAATCATCATTCTCAGTAAACTATCGCAAGGACAAAAAACCAAACACTGCATGTTCTCACTCATAGATGGGAATTGAACAATGAGAACACATGGACACAGGAAGGGGAACATCAGACTCTGGGGACTGTTGTGGGGTGGGGTGAGGGGGGAGGGTTAGCATTAGGAGATATACCTAATGTAAATGACGAGTTAATGGGTGCAGCACACCAGCATGGCACATGTATATATATGTAACAAACCTGCACATTGTGCACATGTACCCTAAAAGTTAAAGTATAATAAAAAAAAAAGAAAGTTAAACAACTTTGGTGAATGATTTGGATTAAGATTGTTACATCCAGCTATAGAAAATGTGGTTTTAATTGGGTTGATGTATCTTCCTTTTTCAAATATCACTTAAAACAGTTAATTTTTTAGTTCTTGAAGATGAGAAAAATATTACTTATCTAATATAACTATGTTAATAGTTATCTAATTTAAAGTTATCTAATATAACTGTAAATTCTGAATACTTAGTATGGACTGTGCTGGGGCAGATATCTTATTTTACCAACTGCTATATGGTTATCTTCTTTTTCTTCCTGATATTTTAATGCTCAAGTAGAAAATGGAAAATCATGAAGGGACAATATCACCTGCGAAAATCATGGCAGTTAGCTTTGTGAAGACACCGTGGCCTCTGTGGAGACATGGGATATTCAGAAAGAGATGGTTAGTACAGTTGTTCTGTCTTCTGAAGTTCAGTCAGGGACACATCGAGAGAGGAAAGTTTAAGCAAGGTACATTAGAAGTTGATAAGCAGCCCAGCATTCTTAGAACAGATGGGTTTAGAGAATACAAGTTGTAGTTCCTTGGCAGAATGCCATGGTGGATATGAGAAACTGTGAACTGCATTGAAATTGAGCTTACTGAGCAGAAAACGAGAATACTAAAAATTTGAAGTTCAGAGGATATGCATTAGGTTATTTCTAATGGTCCCCAAATATGATCATTGCCTGCCTGGCTATATAAGACTCCTGTTGGGAGCTTCAGAATAGATTCCTGAGCTTAGCCCTTTGGAGACTCTGGTATGCTGTGTCTGGGATGGAGTCTGCCAAAAAAAATTTAAAGAAGAGACTTAAAAATTATACAAAACTAAAATAGTGCTTTGGTACTATCAGATTACTTTGGAGGCTATTCCCACTTAGATTCTTCATATGGAAGATGTGGATAGAGAGACATGCAGATAAATCAGTCAATGCCAACTGTTGGAGGAAACATCCATAGTCTGCAGGTTCCCACAGAGAACATAGCACTTCCACTCCTCTCCCATGAGGGAAAATAAAGGAGAAAAGCTTTCAGCCTCTCACCATAAACTCATTCAATCCTCCCCTTGGGAAGAGAAATGACTTACCTGAGAAATGTGCTTGGAAGTAGTGCTGGTGAAACTCAGCCTCTGTGGGTTTCTCTGTCTTTCAGAGTCAGCTCTCTTCAGGATGCACATTTATTTCTCCCTTTGGAGGAGGCCTCAGTCCAGCTCAGCCAAGGACTGAAAGGCACATCTGGCTAATTCAGGACTGGGGTATTGGGAAGTCCCTTTGGCCCCAGATCTATGACATGTTCTCGAGTCCTGAGACCTGCTGACTCTGGTGCTTCATTTCCCAGTTGGGTCATATCTTGGGGTTATTTGTGTTCCCAGCTCTAACAGGAAGGTTCCCAAGCACTCATTTCTTCTTAACCAATTTCTGAAGGTAAGATGTTGGTTGAAGAGAGCTCTTTTCTTGCTGCTACCATTAATTGGGTGTTTATTTTGTGTCAGGCACTGTTGAGTATTTTACATTTCTTAGCTGGTTTTATCTTTACAGCAACTTTATATGACAGACATTGTTCCTCCATTTTTCAGGCTAGAAATCTGAAGGGGTGGGTTGCCCCTCCACACCTGTGGGTGTTTCTTGTTAGGTGGAATGAGAGACTTGGAAAAGAAAAAGACACAATGTATAGAGAAAGAAATAAGGGGGCCCAGGGGACCAGCGTTCAGCATAGGGAGGATCCTGCCAGCCTCTGAGCTCTCTTAGTATTTATTGATCATTCTTGGGTGTTTCTCAGAGAGGGGGTTGTGGCAGGGTCACAGGATAATAGTGGAGAGAAGGTCAGCAGATAAACACGTGAACAAAGGTCTCTGCATCATAGAAAAGGTAAAGAATTAAGTGCTGTGCTTTAGATATGCATACACATAAACATCTCAATGCCTTACAGAGCAGTATTGTTGCCCGCATGTCCCACCTCCAGCCCTAAGGCGGTTTTCCCCTATCTCAGTAGATGGAACATACAATCAGGTTTTATACCAAGATATTCCATTGCCCAGGGACGGGCAGGAGACAGATGCCTTCCTCTTGTCTCAACTGCAAAGAGGCACCCTTTATGGGTGTCGGGCTGGGGGACAGTCGGGTCTTTCCCTTCCCACGAGGCCATATTTCAGACTATCACATGGGAGAAACCTTGGACAATACCTGGCTTTCCTAGGCAGAGGTCCCTGTGGCCTTCCGCAGTGTTTGTGTCCCTGGGTACTTGAGATTAGGGAGTGGTGATGACTCTTAAGGAGCATGCTGCCTTCAAGCATCTGTTTAACAAAGCACATCTTGCACCGCCCTTAATCCATTTAACCCTGAGTTGACAGCACATGTTTCAGAGAGCATGGGGTTGGGGTAAGGTTACAGATTAACAGCATCTCAAGGCAGAAGAGTTTTTCTTAGTACAGAACAAAATGGATTCTCCTATGTCTACTTCTTTCTACACAGACACAGTAACAATCTGATCTCTCTTTCTTTTCCCCACAGAAATCTGAGGCCCAGTGTCCCACAATGGCCATGTGGTGACACTAGGCTTTGAGCACAGATGGTTGACTTCCAAACTCTATGTTCCTAACCATTATGCCACTCTGTGTTGTGACAGCACCAAACATACTTTCATTCATATGTATTTTTTAACTGATCATGTTCTTGTGTGATTTCTTTCAGAAAGGCTTTTGCATCAAATATTGATAAAGATAATAATAATGAACACATGTTGAGCACTTACCATGTCTCCAGCACTGCTCTAGAGCTTTCCATGAAAAAGCCCCTCTAATCTTCAGAACAATCCTGTGAGGTAGGTGCTACTATTACTCTGTTTTCACAAGTAAAGAAACTAAGCACAGCAGATCCATAGTCATGCTGTAGGATGCTGTGTAGAATGGCTCATGGGACACTGGGAAAGCTCTTCTGCACCCCAGCATCCTCTTTACTGGTTCATTAATGTCTGATATTCCTGCATGAGAAAACACAGCATAGAGAGAAAGCTTAATGTGTCTATACACACACTGAGAGATAAGGCATTGACATAACATCTCATTATAGGTATTAGAAATGCAGTCTCAAGAGCAGGTTCTTGTGGGGTGACAGGCAGGGTATTCTAGGGGAAAGAATACCCCAAGAAAGGTAGCATTACAAAGGAAGAGGAGAAAGAAAGATGTAAATGAGGAGACACTGGTATTCTTCCACTGCAATTTTTCCCAAGGCTGGCCCCTTTTCTATTACATTGTTACCCAGTAACTCATACTTTCCCTAGAGCTCTTGCAAGCAAGAACTATTGAGAAAGTAGCCCATCTGAAAGTATATTTCCTGCTAGTTTTCTGCTTCCAGAACTGGCTGAAGTTTACTTTTTGGTACTCCAGAGACCTAGCTGCTTCTTGCCTTCTTCCAGTGTGGTCTATTTAATCTCCTGTCTTGTGGGAAATTATATTCAAAATTTCTGTGATCCTCTGTCCATAGTAAGTTACGCATGTAGTGACAAATGCATGCCACAAGGTCTTGAGATTATATCTGCAATGTGTTGCTGCTGGCTGTTGATCAAGATAGGCTGGAAGAAAAACATTTATCAAATAATTCTTCTTGCATTTTTCCCAAGACGTTGTAGCGTATTTAAACTTGGGAGGTGAAGTTTGTAGCATTCATTATGACTGAAAATTTAGTTCACACAATCATGATGCTCTATTAGGTGTTACCATTAAATAATATTAAAATACACACAATGTGGCTGGTCTTTCGTAAGCTACATGGCATGTTTACTTCTTTGCCTGGTTTCTTAATTGCATTTCTTCATCTTTCTGAATACCAGTGTCACTGTCACCCACAATATTTTCTGTTTTGAGTAAGTGGTTTACATTTTACTTTGCCCAGTGATAGAATATGATGGGGACATCTTATCTGAGTATTTCATAGTATGCTGTAGTTTGAATTCTTGGCCGTTGGTTTCCCAGAGTCCCAGCTCCTGCCACTGCATTCTGCCTTTGTAAATGGAGAATAATGGCTCTAAAAAAAATTCACATAAGAATCTCATGGTAGTGGAGAAGGAGGACCATGGAAATGCTAAAGCCTCCCACTCAGCTTCTGTAAATCATGCAGAGGATCAGGAAAATGATTGAAAGTAACGTATCCCAAACAAAGAAGCCAGCTGTGTAATTAAAGACCTGTGTCTGGCTGTTAAGGAAAGAAAAAAAAACAATGGAAAGAATAACCTTGCTATTTATCTTGTTCAAAAAACTGGAGCAGATTGAGTCATCTAGACCCAGTTTCAGATGAAATGTTAAATACTGATAGGGGCATATTCAAGATCTTTAGGATTTTTTGGGGGGAGGAGGGGGGAACATAAAAAAGCAACAATAAAGATAAATTTGAATGCAGGAAAAATACACATAATCCATGAACCAAACACCTGTTTTTGCATGTTTATCACCTTTGTCCCTATGTAGATCTATGTTTTATTTCATAGTTGCAGTCATAGAATATATTCTATTCTCTAAGCTTTTATCCTTTAATGTTATAGGAGAACATTGTTCCATGTTACCACATAGCCAAGTGTTTCAAAACTTGTTTAATAAATTCTGTGTTGTTGTTTTCACAGGGAGAAACATGCACATGTATATTACTTGTTTTTTTTTTCTGTTGAAGTATACTCTTGGAATAATTATTTTCAGTGAGGTTTTTGGTTCCAAAAAGTATAAACATTTTGGTGATCTTTAGTTAAGTTGTATTGCTTTCCAAAGAAGTGATAGAAATTATACTTGCCACCCCAACAGTGAAAGAGTAGTCATTTAATTTCAGTGTAACAGGGGATGCTACTGTTGCTATTATATTTTCTATTATAATGAAAAGATTTCAACCAAGCTGGATTGTCCTTCCGGAGCTGCCGCTAAATCAACACCTTGATATCTTTGTTCTGGGAGAAAAACGAGCTAAGGAGGAAGACCACCTAAAAAACCCATTAGACAATTTGTGCTCACTGGAGTGGTCTCTACTGGGCAAAAGGCTTTTAGAATGTCTTGTGGATCTTCTGGCAAGTGGCAAACCATACAAGTGCTACATCAGGCCTGGAAGACAGGTGCAGCCCTGTCAGGGTCAAAGAGGAACACCAGTGGCAGAAGAGCTAAGAGTGAATGAAAATTGAATTATTTCTACTTCTAGGACTTGTCTATTGAGAAACAGCAGCTACACACTCCAGCCTGGGCAACAGAAAGCCTGTCTTGGAAAAATTGCAAATGAGAAAGAGAACCCCAACAGCATCCAAGTCTGCTGATAAGCACGCTCTGAAAATGCATGACCAAGATCAGCAGCAACTTCAATGTTGCTTTTCTCAAACAGTAGCACTCTAAAAGGATGCACACAGCTTATTGATAATGAACACAAAAATTACCAAGAGATTGGTGGAGTAAATCTCTTAAATTTCTTTATTTTTACTTCTTCTCCAAATTTTGATGTGACATAGCTAATTTGAATATATGTCTCTTTCTAGATTCTACAGATAGCCTTAGAGCCCCACAAGGCATTTTGGGAAGTTGAAATAACAGCAGTTTCTACCTTACGGGAACCTCTAAAAATTATTATCATAATCATGACTTATTTTGTTGAATCCATGAAGCTTATGAGGTTTTAAGAAACTCAGGTTGGGCCGGGTATGGTGGCTCACGCCTGTAATCCCAGCCCTTTGGGAAGCTGAGGTGGGCGGAACACTTGAGGTCAGGAATTCAAGATCAGCCTGGCCAACATGGTGAAACCCTGTCTCTACAACAAATACAAAAATTAGCCAGGCGTGGTGGTGGGCCCCTGTAATCCTATCTACTCAGGAGGCTGAGGCAGGAGAATCACTTGAACCTGGGAGGTGGAGGTTGCAGTGAGCCGAGATTGCACCAGTGTGCATGATGGCCTGGGCAACAGACAGAGAAAAAAAAAAAAAAAAGAAACTCAAGTTGTACCCACTAGTTGCAGAGTGATTTTATTTTTATTTATTTATTTTGAGATGGAATCTTGCTCTGTCACCCAGGCTGGAGTGGAGTGGCAGGATCTTGGCTCACTGCAACCTCTGCCTCCCAGGTTCAAGTGATTCTCCTGCCTCAGCCTCCTGAGTACCTGGGATTACAGGCATCCACCACCATGCCCAGCTAATTTTTTGTGTTATTAGTAGAGACGGGGTTTCATCATGTTGGCCAGGCAGGTCTCAAATTCTTGACCTCAGGTGATCCACTCGCCTCAGCCTCCTAAAGTGCTGGGATTACAGGCGTGAGCCACCATGCCCAGCAGTGATTTTATATTTAAATGTGTGTTTTATAGGTTGCCTCATTTTCTGGTCATAGGGTCCCCATGAAGGAAGTAGTTTATTGCCATTTTGCAATAGGAAAGCAGAAATACAGGAGGGCAAATGACTTACCTTTGGTCATTCAGTCTGTAAGCAGGAATTGAGAGCAGGATCTCAGGTCCTCTGACCTTCAGCCCTGTGTTCTCTCTTTCACTTAGCTTTCCAGTTTCTTTATGCCAAGTAATGGAAGTGATTTGAAAGCTGCATTCTCAGCCTTTTGGAAAGTGGTTCACCAGAGGTGTTTCTTCACCACTCTCATTCTTTAATGTCACCTGACACCAAAGACCTCATGATGGGAAATACTGAATGTGGATTTGGCCAGTCTGCTGACACCATCCTGTCATGCATCCCAAAATTACCCAAGCTCATCCCTCTGATCAGAAGTATTTGTGAGGTGGAAGGTGGGGCCTTAATGGATAACCTTACTACCCCCCATGCACTGAGGTATGGTTGGCCAATGATCCTCATTGACATTTGGGGATTGTGTGTAGGATTATGAGCATCCATTTTGAGTGCTGAGACCTGAGACAATGCATCAAGTCAGGCAGAAGTGCGGTTCATCAGCATCTTGACAACATAGTCTATTCTCACGTGTTCAAGGCCTGAGCCACCACTGCCATCAAGCTGACTCCAAGTGGCTGCGTTTTCAGCGAGAGGGGAATAGCAGTCACCTATCAGCTTCTTGACTGTGTTCTGCTGGGCTTCCTGATAAAAGATGTTTATTCAGAGAGAAAGAGACAGGAGAGTGAGGTGGTACACAACCTGCTATCCCCAGACTTTGCACCGGTTTCAGAGTTAAGATCTTCTTTGAAGGCTCTGAAACCTGGGACAGTCCTTACCATGACTGAAACCTGGAGAGGAGATGTAGACAGAGGATCATTTTTGTGTTGAGTCACTAGGTGACCCTCTTCTCTTCTTTATAACAATGTGTGTTGTGCCTGGGCCCTTGTTAGGCCGTCTTTGTGTTATCTCTGGCTGTGACTAGCACAACATGTGTTCTCCTCCCACTTTCAGCCTGGAAGATCCAACTTCTGAGCCCTGAGTGATAAATCAGCTTCGTAACGGGAAGCTGACACCATCCTATCTTCAAGGGCTATAACTGGGCAGTTGCAGAGAGCCCTGGTCTCAGAAGCGTTGTGCACATGGTTTACAATGCTCTGCTGTTGCATCTTGAAATGCTTAATTTTTGAACAAGGAGCCCTGTACTTTCATTTTTCACTGGGCCCTACAATCTATGTAGCTCATCCTGCCAACATCATTGGCATCCCTGAGTATGAGAGTTCAGAAGAAACTTAGAGGCTATTGTCTGATTCAATCCTTGCAGCTTACAAAAAGAAATGTGGGAGCAGGCACTGCATGACTAGTCTGAGGTTACTCAGGAAGTCAGAGGCAGAGCTGCAGTCAGGGCCACCTCTCTTTACTGCTAGCTGTGTGCTCTTTCTACTGCACCCTCAGCATAAAACATCTCCCAATCCAGGAACAAGGTCTACCTCATAGGTGGGCACAGCAGCGTGATCACTCTCTCAGTCATCTGTACTCCTCCTTTGCTTTGACCAAAGAGACAGGAAGGGACCTTTTGCCCCACATAAAACACTTCTCAAAGGCTTGGCAACAACAATAGATAATAGAGAGCATTGGCCTAAGACCAATGTTTTGACCATGATGTCAAAACAATATTTTGTTTCAGCAAAGAAAAGCTATGTCACAAGTGGATTGTTATTACTAATAATCAGAGTAGTGGTACTTGCGAATAACTTGGTTTCATACTCACACTTGGACAACTATGCACACTGAGTATAACTGACCTTATGAGAACATCATTCTCACTAAGATTATGATGTGCTTTCTTGTGTGGGAACTGTACATAATATTGTGTGTACCCTTGGGAGGATGTCCTGCCTGTGATGTTGTCTATCAGGGAAGAAGAGTGGTCGAGAACTGAGGATATATTAAACATTTACTCCCAGATTTTTCAAGATTTCTGTTAAGCCAGATCAGAAGAAAGCCATCTATTTGGATTGCATCACTCTAACCCTTTAAGTTGAATTGTCTACACAGAATTATAATTTCACAGTATGTCCAGATTACTTACTGAGAGCCAATTTGAGACACCAACAGGACTAGTAAAACATCTTTGCACTGTGGGTCGCATTGCTATCAAAGACCTTGTACATTATGTCATTCAAGAACCTTTATATTAAGATTCTTATGGAAAATCCTTCCCAAAGTTTAACCCTATGATACAGGTTTTTTTTCCTCCAGGTAACATAGTGGAAAATTGGGAACTCTTTAACCCAATGCATTGATTTCATTGATTGTTTTGGTTGCCAAGAAGTATGGATGCTCAGAATAGGTTTTCTTGTTTTCAACTGCTAATTCCTTTATTTAAATTGTAATACATGTTTCCCTTTGTTTCTTTGCTTTTTCTTTTTAAGAAATTGAATGTATTTAATAATAAATTATAAATTATCAATAGATCAATTAGCATAGAATAGTTTGGAATAATGCTTAAAGATCCCCCATTGAAAAAGACCCCAGTAGCTTAGGGTTCACAGCTGAGTGTTAACTGAACTTTAACAAATTCTGATTTTATTTAAAACAATCAAAGCCTAGAAAAAAAACTCCTGCACATCATATGGGCCACATAATAACCATAAAAAAAAGAAAGAAAAAGGGGTGGCTTTCTTCAATTAATTTTATAGTGTAATATCAAAGCTTAATGGTTAATGTATTTCATCTAATGTAGGATGTCAATGTTTAGAAATCAGACATTATTTCATGTACCGTTATAGATATGCTGCCAATTAAACTGTGACTTCCTTAACAAAAGCAAAAAAAGGAATTGTAAAGATATTAAAACATGTAAAGAATAATGTAAGCACTATACTCAATTAACATGTTAATATTTTATTGTATTGGTTTTCAGTAATTATTTTCAATAACATAAAGCATTATTAGCTAATATTCCACCCCTATCACCCCAATCTCATTCTCCTTCTAGGTCCCCAGGGCCAATTGCTAAAATGAATTTGTTGTATATTTTAAAGTCCATTTTCTATACTTTTGCACATAAATATGTGCATTCATAAAAAGTATTTTTGTGCTGAGAAGGTAGAATAAGCCCTTCAAAGCTGTTGATGTTCAGATTCCAGTTGGCAAAAGTCTTACACATATGGCATTAAATATTTTCAGTATAAATATGCACATTCCACAAGTTCAGCAGTTCTGTAATATGCATCCAGAGTCTGCCCTGAGGGTTGCTTACAATCTTAGCATAAACTCTCACCCCTTTTAGAGAATAAAGCTTACACCTATGTAATGACCAGTCCAGGTACAAGGGTGTCTTCTAAGAACATTCATTCATATATTCAACAAATCTTTATTGAGCACCTTTTCATGCTAGGGAGGTGACCTGTGTTCTCCCTACACAACAGGAGAAAGTGGTGGCACTGGCAGGAAAGTGCAGTGGAAAGGAGGAGCTGACTTTGGCAGGAAAAAGAATGATATTACTTTGAATTTATCAACTCTGATGTGACATCCTGATAAAAAGTGCCATATCCAAACCACATTGTAGATTCTCAAAGGACAGCACGCAAGTTGAATAAAAACTGTGTGCCCCAAATAGGAAATGGTATAGAAAGGCCTGAGGCTGGGGTATGGAAGCACACGGTGTGCAGAGAACGAGGGAAGAGAAGAGTGAACAACTGCTCGGGGTGGGGTGGCATTGATGGTGAGAGATGGGTTTAACATGCATTTATGAGGACAGACATGATCAGGTTTAAAGAAAAAGAATTTTTTTTTCCAGCACTCCCACTATGGGGCATTTATCTACAGGAAAGGAAATCAGCATATTTAGGAGATACGAGCACCCTCATGTTTATAGCAGCACTATTCATGGTAGCCAAGATTAGAATCACCCTAAATGTCCAAAAACAGATAAATAGATTTAAAATGTAGTATATATTCACAGTGGAGTACTATTTAGCCATAAAAATAATGAAATCCTGTCCTTGGCTGAAACATGGGTGAGCCTGGAAGACTATGTTAAGTGAAATAAGCTAGGTACAGAATTGTAAATCTTGCACGTTCTCACTCATATGTGGGAGCTAAAAAAAAACAAACTGAGCTCATGGAAGTGGAGAGTAGAATTCTGGTTATTACAGGCTGGGGCAAGCAACAGGGAGGAGAGGACAGGGAGAGGTTGGTTAACAAATACGAACTTACAGCTAGATAGGAGGAATGAGTTCTAGTGTCTACAGCACTGTAGGGTAAATATGGTTAGCAGTAATTTATTGGATATTTTGAAAAAGCTAAGAAAGAGTATTTTGAATGTTTACAACACAAAGAAATGATAAGTGTTTGATGTGATGGATACGTTAGTTCCCCTGATTTGATCATTACATATATAGAAATACATATATTGTACACATATATTGAAATGTCACTCTGTATCCCATAAATATGTACAATTACATTTCAACTAAAAATGAAAAAAGCAGTAAGACTGAAATGATAGGCTTAGTATCAATTTATAGATGAGTCTTGATTTAGGGAAAGGAGATAGGTAGAGGAGAGAGATTTATGTCTGAGTGTGAAGAGAAATTTTTATTGGTTTTTGGTGAATACTGTCCAGTGAATTTCCTAGTTTAGAAGAATCACAAGGAGCTGGCAATGTAGTGTGGGCAAGTAGCTGGAGTGACATCAGAGGTCAGCTCTGTGACTCCAGCACTGGACTATTCTTTTATCAGGACCTGAAGCTCACAGTCAGATGCCCATGGCAGTAGCATCAACATATTGACGCTGCCACCACCATGGGTCCATCACCCTTCAAAACCATGATAGAAAGACCAAGACATGGATGTCCAGCTAATGGTTCTCAGATACGAAGGGCAAGAGACCTGGAGTGATATCCAAAATAAGCAAGAATAAGACCACATTGCAAGTTGTTTTCATCCATTGGAAAGCCTAAGAAGGGAACCAAGATGGCTCTCCAAAAGCTTTGTAACTTCAAACACTTCCCAGGATCCCCACTGCCATCTTAATGTTATTATCCAAGTTCTTTTTCCTGAACTAGCTGAGTTTATAAGCCATTTTTGAAAGTAACTGTAGCTATAGAAAACCATAGTTATAGGAAAATGCAATCTGTTGATCTCTTCATGGTAGTCTGTATATCATTTACACTTCACTTCTCTGTGGTTGGAAAAGCTTTTTTCATGGTTTATTTAGTGGGAAGTCATTTTGATCAGCAAGATGAGTAATACTTTACAGCTGTTTGCAATTACTGCCTCTGCTCTGCCAGGAGTTTTAACTATTACACAAACTGAAATACCAAATGAGTTGATGCAAGATGGGAAGAGAAATACATATTTCATAGGCCCATTCATTTCACCAGAAATTATCCATCACTTTTTCTTTCAATTCTATCTTTCTAAATTCAAAGTTACATCTCAAGGTAATTTTGAATTACCTAATTCCATAGGATTTTTATCAATGAAGGGAAGTGCACCTGCTAACACTAAATTTCCTGTTGTTGCCATTGGAAGGGCACCATTGCCTAAATTCCACACAGGTCTGAAGCCAGTTTGGCGAGGAGAAAGAACACAGGCCTTGATCTGCATATTTGTCTCTTTAAAACACCCATTCTTCATGATTTTAAGGAAAGGATCATGCTCATTATTTTCTTCCCTCCCAATCTTTCTAACATGGGCCCACATAAAACGTGTCCCCCTCCGCCAACATCCCTTCACACAAACACACACACACACACACACACACACACACACACACACACACACACACACTCTCTCTCTCTCTCTCTCTCCCTCTCTCTCCATCTCTCTCTCTGTCTCTCAGATGAGGAACAAGCTCAGGGGGAGGTCTTGGGATTAGTTCTGATTGGTTCTGATTGGGTC
The DNA here is from genome assembly GCF_000001405.40 of Homo sapiens. NCBI lineage: Eukaryota > Metazoa > Chordata > Mammalia > Primates > Hominidae > Homo > Homo sapiens. Next base: position 11,899 of record NT_187594.1, on the reverse strand, counting down.
ACATGCCCATCACTGAACCAGTGGAATGCTGCATGCTAATTGGCTAGTTCTGGGTCAAATGCCCACCACTGAGGACAGAGGAAGAATCAACTTGTTTAATCCACATGGATGGGCTGAGCTCAGGCAGAACTTCCAGCAAAACTTGAGTGCTGTTTTTAGAAAAATTAAATGGAATATATTTGAAATGAAGAAAAACATTATATCTCCACTCAGGCATTTCTCTTTCCTGGACAATTGACTGGAGGGTGCATGGGGCAAACTCATCCAGGCTGCAATGATTTATTGAAAAATGCCATGCTTATTCAAATGGACAACAATTCATAAAACTTGACTAGATCCAAAAGCCTGGCCAGGCGCGGTGGCTCACGCCTGTAATCCCAGCTCTCAGGGAGGCAAGAGGCGGGAGGATAGCTTGAGCCCAGGAGTTCGAGACCTGCCTGGGCAATATAGGGAGACCTCGTTCTCCAGAAAAAGGAAAAAAAAAAATACAAAAAAAAAAAAATAAGCATAACTCCCCTTAAAGCAACAACTCCCCCCCGCCACTTTTAAACACTCCAATGAAAGGGTAATGCAATGTATTAATACATATTAATAATTAACACCCTGGCCGGGTGCGGTGGCTCATGCCAGTAATCCCAGCACTTTGGGAGGCCAAGGCGGGTGGATCACAAGGTCAGGAGGTCGAGACCATCCTGGCTAACATGGTGAAACCCCGTCTCTACTAAAAATACAAAAAATTAGCCGGGCATGGTGGCAGGCGCCTGTAGTCCTAGCTACTCGGGAGGCTGAGGCAGGAGAATGGCGTGAACCTGGGAGGCCGAGCTTGCAGTGAGCCGAGATCGCACCACTGCACTCCAGCCTGGGCGACAGAGCCAGACTCTGTCTCAAAAAAAATATTATAATAATAATAAGTAACACCTACTCTTAGGGATACCCTGCTCTTCACTTAGCAGAAGATGTTAGACGATAGGCGAGCAATTGATCAAAAGGTCAGAGGATCACAGGCATTTCTGTGATGTAGCAAGCACTGAGAATAGCTGTGAATATCCCGGGAATTTTCTGTAGGTATCAATAAAGCAAGATTTTGGTTCCTGAACACTGACCTGAGTTCTAGTTTGGCAAACTTTGTGTCTTTTATTCACATTGAGCTCCCAGTATTTTGAAACAGAGGTTAATTCAAGGAGAAGACCCAAAGGATAAGGAAGGGAAACACTTTTTTTTCCACAAACTTTGTGATATGCATGTAATACAGACGTAGGGGTGAAAAGAATGCTGATAAATGTAACATTTTATTAACTAATGAAGCCTAAGGAAGAACATGTAAAGAGATCAGGATCTGATTTCAGATTTTACTTGCTCCTACATAGATATCTCAGGGAAATTCAAATAGATTAAGACTCAAACACAACCCACAAGAACATCGGCAGATGACATGCCAGGCACTGTGCCCAGAGCCTTCTCAAGCAGGGGCTTCTTGAATCCTCCCAAGGATTCTGGAAGAAGGGTGATATTCTCCCCTTCCACAGATGAGGAAACTGAAGTCAGAAAGATCAAGATCACAAAAATACTCAATGGTGGATCTGGTAAATGAATGAAAGTCTTCTAACACCAACTCTACCCTCTCTTTTCAGGACAAAATGTACCTTCAATTTAGCTGGTTCATCCAACTACCATAGATAGAATTTTGTTTTGTTTTTCAGTTTCTAAAAGACACAACCATGGCTTTACTTAATTGGAACGAAAATTCTGAGAACTAAACCTTCCCTTTCCCAGGAAGGCAGGCTGCAAAGGCACAGAGACTGCAGAATCTGGAAGATGACAACTTCTGAGAATCAGGGTTAATGACCAGGGCTCGTCATTCAGAATCGTGTTTTGACTTCTCTGCAGTGCTCCAAGAGAACAAATTAGAGGTTGAGCTAGGAGGGACTAATAAACCAGTGGGCTTTGAGTCACAAGGACCTAGATTTGAAGATTGGCATAAATAATTATAACTGGAATAACTTTGGATAATTTACCCAACCTCATTGACCCTCATTTGTGAAATAAAAATAGTAAAAATAATACCTACCACATTGGATTATTGTGAGAATTAACCATGGTAATACATATAAAGCATTTAGCCCAAGCCTGGCCCATGTTAAGTACATCATAAATGATAGAGATTTTATTAGTATTACTAATAGTGTTAGGATTAGTAGTGTTTCTTAAGATTGATTAGAAGTAAACATCTTTTGTGGGAGGAGGGAAATGTATTAATTTGTTTTATAGAAACATGATATGCTAAGTTAGTGAATTTAGGTGAGGCAGTGGGTGCGACAGACAAAGCAATGAGTGGGAGACACGAGTGTGTTTGCCATTTTGGGACCTCAAGAGTGAGGTGAGCCAAGGGCAAAGCTGAGCCAAGGGCAAAGCTGATCCAAAAGGAAGCTGTGCCAGATACATGGAGTGGTGGAGGTAGTGAAACTCCTTATGTCGGTGAAATTACAACAAAGAATGCCTTTTGTAAATGCAGCAAACAAAAACTAAGGGTGGAAAAACACATGGTTTTTAATGTCCAATTTAGAGGATGGTTAGGTCCAATTTAGGGGAGAATGAAAAGAAGAATTTACTTCATGCAGCAGGTAAAGAATAGAATTATGGTATAATAGCCTTGAATTATTTAGATCAATTTACTGAGCCCATAATCTCAGGAATTTCTGACATTGTAGTAAAAGTAAATGAGGGGTCTGTAGATCCACATGGCTTAACCTGTGTGGCCACTGCTTGTGATCACCTCTGTATGAAAAAACCCTGATTTGAGGTGGCTGTAATGCATTAACCACGTCAATGGCTTCCCGCTCCTTGTTGTCACCAAAGTGGGCCACACTCACCTAGAAATTAGGGCAGGCAGAAGGGGGAGCCCCTAATCATTTGCATTAGTTTCTGGGCTCCCTTGTCAGTTTTGACGCCTGCAATAGTAATCTTTTGGCAAAGGAACACACAACCCTGCCATTGCCGGGGGTAAGGATCCCAAGTGTTTGGGGAGAAGTTTTGCTGTCTTATCTGAGAATGGAGTCACGTTGCTTTTGGATCACAGTATCTCAGAGAGATAGGGAGCTCCAAGTCCTGAGAAGGAGGAATGGTACCTGGTACCTGGTACCTTGAATATGAGGCACACGCTAAAAGGTAAGGAAGAGAAAGAGAGAGAGAGAGACAGAGAGAGAGAGAGAGAGAGAGAGAGAGAGAGAGAAAAGAAGGAAGAAATAAAGAAAGGCGTTTGGCTTTAGACCTGATTATTTCAGCTGTAGAAACGCTAATTTCGCTGACTGGTGAGGGTGGGGGTGGGGGAATGTAGCTGTTTCCTGATAATGTCTTCTGTGCTGAAAGTGCCCTGGATAGCAAGGAGGGGCACTGGGCAAGGACAAACCACCAGGAAGAGGGCAGCCCTCCAGTGCAAGAGGGTGAAGCAGCCTGTTCTTGTGTAGTGTGGACAGAACTGAAGGCATCTTTGTCATGGACTCGAGTGCCCCCTGTGGATGCTGAGGGACTCTGGAGCCCCGTGGGATTTTACTTTACGGGGCTTCCTGCCCTGCTGCAAACACATCGTTTCATAGTTCTTTCTTGTGACTGCAGGAGACTGTGCTCCAGCATCAAAAAGAGAAGCAAAACATCATGGATCCAGGCCAGGGTTTCCCACTAATTAGCCATGCCCCCTCCACAAATTACTTGGTTTTCTAGGCCTCAGTTTCCTCATCTAGTAAATGAAAGTTAAATAAGATTATTTCATATATCAACTAAATCCCAAACATGATTTTTCAATATCTTTTGTCTACTGTCTTCCCCTATCAATTCTTTCCAAAAAAAGCCCCTGTTGAGAGGTCTGAGACCTTGAATCCCAAATGCCTAGTGTGGTGACTGGCACACAGTAGGTGCTCAAGAAATACTTATTGAATGAATGTTCCTTTGGAAAGTCTCTGTTGAATAGATGCTGCTTTCTATTATCTCTTCCCAGAGAAAAGAGGCAAAAATCTATGGCAATAGAAGAGGGGAAAATCATTCTAATAGTTGATGGCACATAATACATTAAAGCAATACTCAGTCACCATACATTAAGTCTTTTTTCATATGGCTTTTAAACAGCTTTTCTCATTAGCCACATGAAATACAGTAATCCTTTAGCTCTCCTTGTCAGATTATCAGCTATTTCAAGTAAGTGTTAACATTTCTGTCACTGGCAAAAGTGAATTATGTTTTCCTTCCTAAGCTTGCATCAACATGCCCAACAAGTGGGCTGCATGCTACTCTCTAATGGGACGGCATGAGGTGCCACTGCTTGGTGATTATGAAGCAGCTCAACATCTGGAGGTGGGGGCATGTCAGCCTGAGCAGGGCCAGGCAACCTTTGCAGGATGAGTGAATGAATGAATTGGGATATCATCCTGGGTGAATAACAGAACTCCTATAACTGCTCTGGCTTTGGTCTATAAATAGCCTGCACAGAAAATTCTGGATGTTGTTATTCCTTGTGAATTTCTGTGTCAGCGTTAATGACAATACAGAGGATACCAGCTACTTTATGCTCAAACACCCATTTTTTAGAAATCTGGAAAATCTGTCCACCAGGAAAATTCAGTTGGGTGATTCAGAGTTCTTATTTTGTGAACCAGTTGATCATGGTGTATCAGAGAAAGATCCTATTTAAGAGACAAACTGCAATAGAAATTCAAATTTCTTAACAGGTGAATGTGATCAGGCCCTGGTTGCTTTTCCACCTCCTCTTGGCTGTGCAGTGTGTCACGCTGCTGCTGCACCACATCACGTCTTTTCACTGCCCTTCCCATGATGGGAACAACTACCCATTTTGTCTACCTGGAGAAATCTCACCCATCCCCTAGAATGATGCTTTTCTATATTCCCCAGCATTTTGTACCTACCTCTATTGACACTTCTAAATCTCATTCTATTTATATGTATATAATCTTGTCTATTCCATTGAATGGTGAATTTCTTGAGATCAGAAACTATATTTTATTTTGAATTTCAAATGGGCTCTTGTATATATCAGAAGCCAAATAAATGATTGTTGAGATTAATAACTACTACTTAGAGTATTTCAGTTATTCACACTGCAACACTGGAAAGTAAATATTATTACTTTCATTTTAAAGATAGAATACAGGATCACAGATTTTTAGATAACTTGCCCAAAGTAATAAACTAGCGATAGAATATCTTAGATTGCAAATCAACTGTGCAATCCCCATTTTAAATTAAATATTTAATTTAACACATTTAACCTGTGTGCAGAATCACTAAAACTTCACAAATTGTATTTGTTAGTTCATGGATACATATGTATTTTGTTCTAACCAGAAGAGTGGAGACCTAGCACTGAATTATCTCCAATGTTTTGTCTTTTCACTTCTTGATATCAGCACATCCTATCAGTGCTTTCTGTCTTTGGCTTACAGATGATTAAGGAAGGGCTGAAAGGAAAATGGGTTGTCTCATCTTTTTTTGTCCTTCCATATCATTATTTCTGTGTAAGTGGCTGACTAATACAGGGAAGTAAGAAAGGATCGGGAAAATTCCTGTGGTGAAAGAATTCACTTTTGAGGAAATGAAGACCTTAAGGGGGAAAATAGAATGAAGACAAAGGTCAGAAATATTCATCTAAAAGCTCCTACAAATACTTTTCTATTAAGGAAATTTAACTGCAAAAATAAACACCAAATATAGGCAATCGATGACTTTTCTCACACTAAATTAGTAGTAATGCATGTACATTTATTTCCCTTGCCGTGTTTAGCTTAATTGAAACTTTTCAGGATCTCTCCTGAAAACTGGTGGCTGCCAATTTGTTTTACTCCAATATGCATGCTAATAAGCACGTGTAAAGGTAGAGATCAATATTCATTAAAGGTAACATGCATGCTAACAAGAATTTTTATGTGTCTTTCTCATCCTCCAACCAAATGTTTCATGCTTTTCTGATTTTATGGCTGGAGCTCCTCTTCTTTGATGCCCCCTCCAGTCTCTTCAGTGGAGTCAGAAGCAGAGACTTGGCTGCCTGAGATGGAAAAGGCATTGGAGACCCTCAATTGTTCTCTGCTGAGGAAGTATTTAGTGCTCTTCTCTCCCGGAACGCTATTGGGATTAGATTGCTTAGGTCTGGGAGTGTTAACTTCTTGCCTAGGCTCCTGTTGCCTGGCCCTCCTTAACACTTTGTGGCTCCCTCCTCAGAGAAAGGCACAGTTCTAAGGCTGGAACGATTTCCCTTTGTCACGCGTGTCCATGTGAAGAGACCACCAAACAGGCTTTGTGTGAGCAACAAGGCTGTTTATTTCACCTGGGTGCAGGCAGGCTGTGTCCAAAAAAGGAGTCAGCAAAGGGTGGTGGGATCATCATTAGTTCTTATAGGTTTTGGGATCAGTTAAGGTGGGGCAGAAACAAATCACAATGGTGGAATGTCATCAGTTAAGGCTATTTTCACTTCTTTTGTGGCTCTTCAGTTGCTTCAGGCCATCTGGATGTATAGTGCAGGTCACAGGGGATATGATGGCTTAGCTTGGGCTCAGAGGCCTGACAGTATGTAACCTGCATTTCCCAAAAGACTGTCACCAATGAGTTGAAATAATTGATTGACTGTCACCTACATTCTACTTGTTATTGCCCTCTCTCACCGCCAATAAAAGACCTACCAGCATTTCTGTTCAAACAAGCCATTGTTCATGCAAAATAGACTTAAGGCTGTCCACTCCAGCTGCGCTCACCCCACTGGCCCAACAAAGCCTGTGCCACAGCTGGGATCCCTTCTCTGCAAACATGAGGAAACTTGGGTTTTGTGAATTGGTAAGTTGCTCAAGGGTGCACACTTCGAAGAGACAGACCTGGATCATCAATTTATACTTCTGCCTCTAAGGGCACTACCTTCCTTCTGTGTTCGAGCTGATCAACTTCTCATCTCAATACAAAATCATCACAACACTTTATGCCACTTGTTTATATTACTTCATATTACTTCTTACTTTCACGGTCACACAGATTCGTTTCCTTTGGCAAACAAACTAAAATTGCGGCAATTAAGTGAGAAGGTTAGGGAAGAAGGTTAGGGCAGGAGGGGTGTGGTCTGAAAAGCCTCACAAGACCAAAGGGCAGTGACTCCTAAGGACAGGGAGCTCAGGGATTCATTGCACAGGCCCGAGGTGGGAGTGGTGCGAAGAGCAGGCCTCATGGTTTGTCAGGGTGGAGCATAGTTTAGTCACCATTATGTACTTAAGGCTAGTAAATACACCACAGACTTCATTAGCTAAGCAGCAATCCATACAGATATTAACCAATTTTCCACTCTGTGCCAAGCACATATGCCATCGTTTGGTGATTTTCACCTATTCATACAATCTTCTCAACAAGTCTGTAAGGTCTTTTGGGACAGAGAAAGTCTCCTGCATCTTATGCTCTCTTACCACTTTTTGCTTAATAGATTTTGTTGTTTCAAATTCTAAAAAGGAAGGAAATTAAACAATTCTTAACCAAATGATCGTTCTCAAACAGGGTCAGTGCCCTCTCTTGGGATGCAAATCCTATGTATCTTATTCCAATGAATAACTCTGTAGTTAGTCATTGATATGGCAAGTTCAGGCTTTTGCTCTTCCTCTTTGAACGTCAGTGGGTGTGTTTTATTTCTCTCTCTCTCTGTTTTTATTATTTTTTTTTTGCAGAATTAAGGAAGCCAAACCCTCAGCCTCATGTAGAAAGAGCTCATTTATTGCAACTAAAATATCTCTTCTTGGAAGGCCATGACCTCAGAAAGGTGAGAACTTCAGTTTTTCTAAAGCAGTGAATATTTCATCTCTCTTACTCTGGACAAGTATTGAACCATATATTATTCCTGCTTGATCCCCTGGTCTGTTCATCCTGGTTCCTTGTCCCACTCTCATTTTCAAGTGAGAGCTTCAAATTGCACAGGAATTCCAACTGCACCATTCCTTTTACTCTTGACATTTCTATGAGCTTCAAGTACCCAATGAGAATTCTGTTTCTGGTGTTTACCAACTGAATTCACATGGACAGAAGGGTGCATGCCCCACACCATTTGCAGGAACTGTTTCTTACGATCAGTAATTTTAAAGCAATGCACCTCCTTGGGCTCTTAACTATATCATCCCAGGAGCTGCTGCTCCTTTTTTCCCATCTCCTTCATCATCCATGTGTCAGACATGCCTCAGGCCTACTGGGCATCTGCTGTTTATCAGTGGGCCCCTCGCTGCCCCCAGCCCCCTGGGAAAGCCCTCTGAGGAGTGAATTATTGGAAACACAAGGCAAGGCCACAGACTTATTGGGGGAGACAAATATATAAACAAGACAATTACAGCAGGTGTGAATAATGCAATAATAATGTTGTTTACCAATAGGAGTGCAGAGGAGGGTCCCTTAGCACAGCCTATAATGGAGTGTGGAAAGGAGAAACCAAAAATTCTCTAGAAAGAAATGGCCTCAAAATTGAGGCTTAAAGATCTATCTTTAAGCTATCTTCGTTGCTATCTTTTTCAAAAGGAAGAGATTGGTAGAAAAGAGAAAAAACTTTTTTTATTTCTGTTGTCCTTCCACTAGTATTTATTATGGGAAATCTGTGTCTACTGCTTCTTCAGAATTCATTACACCTAGTGAGTCCCACGGGCCAAGGCCCCCATATAATTTCTATGCCTTTGCTTAATTAAGACACTGTGATAGACTGGGCAGACATTTCCTGGCAATTTATGATCAGCTGGAGGAGCTTAAGTCTTAAAGCAAAGATGTGAAAATATGCAGTTATGTTTATATAAAAAGTAGTGAAATTATAACTTTTTATGTCTTAGTCAGCTAAAAGTTGAAAAAGCACATTGTTGTGGTGGACAAGCTGCATTTATACTTTTTGTTCTTTTCCTATTCACTAAAAGCCATTCACAAATAAACAGGAAGAGAGAGACACACACTCTGAGTTTGACACTTGCTCTTTTTTATTAGGTATTTGGAATCCAGGTCAATGTGAAGAACTTCCCTAAGACTCATTGCTGGCTAACACTGGGATTAGTTACTCAAAGAGCTTTGTAGTGTGACCATTATTAAGACTTTTACAGATGTCTTTATTTAATCAGATAGGTTTAGCAGAGTTCAGCCAATAGACTGTGGAATGGACAGAATGAGCCCAATGCTTGTCTGACAAAATATGTTGAATTTGTCAGTTCTAAGTGTAACACTTGGATCTTTCACAGCTATCACCATGTAGTACAGTGTTATTCACCTATCCAAGTTCATAGAAGATTCCAGGCTCTGCACCAAGTGTTTTCCATCTATAACAGGGATAAAGTTTTAGATATATTTTCTAAGTTTTCTTACAGTTGGGCTGATTTCTGTCCTTGCACCCTGCTAGGGTCTGACTGTTTCTGCCTTCTCAGAATTTGTATGTTGAAATTTTAACTCCTATGGTGATGGTATCAGAGGGTGAAGACTTAGGGAGGTGATTAGGTCATGGGGGCAGATCCACATGAATGGGATTAGTGCCCTTATGAGGCACTCAAGGAAAAGCCCTCGCCTCTTCCACCAATGTGAGGACACAGTGAGAAAGCACCATCTATGAACCAGAAAACAGGCCTCAGCAGACATGGAATTTGCTGGTGCCTTCATCTTAGACTTCCCAGACTTGAGAACGGTGAGAAATACGTTTCTGTTTTTTATAAGCTACCCAGTCTATGGTAGTTTGTTGTAGTAGCCAGAATAAACCAAGATACAGCCAATTTCATCATTTGGGCTGAACTTTGAGACTGAAATCTTAGAGGAATGAGGAGCAAATGATATAGGACAGTTGCATTCAGACAGGAAGGGAAAGTAACAGGAAAGCTTACCCCTTCCCATCCTGTCAGATAATGGAGGCAGAAAAAAAAAAAGTAGAACAAAAATGTTCCTATTCCCACGTAAGAATCATACATCAAATGCAAATTCTTTTAGGAACATAGAAGTATGGGGCAATACACAAATACCAGAGGAGTAGATTATTTTCCAAGGCAGAGTCTGCAGGCCCCTAGAACAACTTGTGCCTTCAGCTGGATGCCAGATCCATCATGGCTCCAGAGCAATTCTGTGGGAAGACTGCAGAATGGGTTCAGGTGGTGAGTCCACTATGGAGCCCTGGCTCTCCATTGTCTGCACTTGTTATGACAGGGATTTAAGATTTCCCAAATGTTCCAGAAGGGATGTGGAAGTGTTGAAAAAGGAGTGGGCAACTGTCAGAAGCTTGGGGTCAGAGTGGATAGGATAAAGTGGGGGTGGACTTGAATACACACAAATGCCTGAAACCTTGGACTCCAGGAAGCCAAAGCTTCACTCCAAAAGGATAGGCAGAGCTAGACAGAGCTCAGCAATCCTCAGACAAGGAGAGGTGGACCAGCCTGTCCACAGCTGGGCATAGAGGGCATCTAAGGATTCCACATGATCTGAATTTTTTTTCTCTCCACTATCACAAGGACACAGTAAACCCCTCATACAACTTGGTGTCATTCCAGGGAAGTTCAGGAGTAGGAGACAGAATCTGAAAGTCTGAAAAGCATCTAAAACAGATTGTGTTAACTAAATGACATGTCAATTACTAGATCAAACCAAGATCGCACGACTGCCTCCACTGTCAATGGGGGTGCAAGTCTACAAAGACTAGTCTGCATATAGAACACTAAAAGGCCCCTGTTTTTCCCACATTTTGACTCTAACATCAGTACATTTGCAGCCGCACTGCATGTGTGTCATCTCATTGAATTCCCAGAACAAACCTGCAAGGTAAATATTGCTATTATTCCGATTAAAAAAACAGATCTACAAAGGTCATATACATGCATTACTCCCAGTTTTACAGCTAGACATGTAATGTGGAATCAGTTCCACATTTGAATATAGATCAGTCTGAATCTAAAAGTCATGGTGTTCCCATGATGACTCATGAGTTTGCTTCTTGAATGTGGAAACATACGATGCTTTGCATATGAAGGAAGATAAATGTAATTGATGTTGGGTATGCAATGTACCTTTTCTCTTCAGGGACTCTTATTGGGACCTGTAAGGACACATAAATGAAAAACAGTTACCTTCTAGTAGGTCTAAATGTCAGTGTAGCATAACAAGGGGGTGGGCGCAGAGCCCATGGAAGCAGCAGGGTTTATGTTAGAGTTGAATGTTCCATCTTTGGAGCTGTTTGTTGGATAAATGAAGAAACACAAAAGTAGTAATTGTTCAGGAGGTAGCAAGTGGCATGTGGTGTTGGTTTAATTAGAAGAGGTGAAAGCAGAGCTGAACTATTCAATGAAACAGACATTTATTTAGCTCTTACATTCAATGAAACAGACATTTATTTAGCTCTTGATATATACATGACACAATGAGAGAATACAGTGATGCCTAAACCACGGCAGGGTACAATAGGATATAATATTATACGAGACGGTGCACTGAAAGTGATTTTTTTTCTTGTTTTAAAAGCAGCTTCTTTCTTGCTCTAATCTTTGTAAAACTAAAAGCAAAATCTGCACCTGTGTGGAGGAGATATGGTGCAGAGCTCTCAGTAAGGACTGAGCCAGTTAATAAAGTCCCTGGGACCACCCCCACCCCAGGCAACCTGGGAAGGCTCAGGGTGCTGGGCCCCCGCCTGGGAGCTGAGAGTGGTCCTGCTCTGCACTTCCCAGACACCCCCAGTGGGGTGCACCACCATACCCAGCCTGCCCAGCCCTGCTGCAGGACATGGGCCAGCGAGGCCCCACAGAGCACTGGGATGGGGGAAGCTCAGGCAGGGGGAGCCAAGCTGGGCCTCAGGGACCTGGGGACGCACCACCCCCTTGCTTTCCACAACTTGAAAACAAGGACTGATCAGTCACTGATTCACAATCCAAAAACCAAC